>NC_000013.11:73711136-73862651 GCF_000001405.40 Homo sapiens
GGAAAGTTGGAAGCTAGCGGAGGTTGGTTCATGAGGTTTAAGGACAGAAGCTGTCTCCATAACATATAAGTGCAAGTTGTAGCAGCAAGTGCTGATGTAGAAGCTGCAGCAAGGTATCCAGAAGATCTAGCTAAGATCACTGATGAAGGCAGCCATACTAAACTACAGATTTTCAATGTAGATGATATACCCTCCTATTGAAAGATGTCATGTAGGACTTTCTGAGCTAGAGAGGAGAAGTCAATGCCTAGCTTTAAAGCTTCAAAGGACAGATGGACTCTTGTTAGGGACTAATGGAGACAGTAACCTTCAGCTGAAGCCAAGGCTCATATACTATTCTGAAAATCCTAGGGCCCTTAAAGAATTATGCTAAATCTAATGCTAAATCTGCTTGTGCTGTATAAATGTAACAACAAAGCTTGGATTTTACAGCATGGTTTACTGAATGTTTTAAGCCCACTGTTGAGGCCTACTGCTCAGAAAAAAAGATTCCTTGAGAAATATTACTGCTCACTGACAATGCACCTGGTCACCCTAGAGCTCTGATGAGATGTACAAGGAGATGGATGTTTTTCTGCCTGCTAACACAACATGCATTCTTCAGCCCACGGATCAAGGAGTCATTTTGACTTTTAAGTCTTATCATTTAAGAAATACATTTCGTAAGACTATAGCTCCATAGCTAGTGATTCCTCTTGTGAATCCAGGCAAATTAAATTTAAAAACCCCTGGAGAGGATTCACCATTCTAGATGCCATTAGGAACATTTGTGATTCATGATAAGTCAAAAATCAACATGAACAGGAATGTGGAAGTAGTTCATTCAATCCTCATCGATGACTTTGAGGGATTCAGGGCTTCCATGGAGAAAGGAATTGCAGATGTGGTGGAAACAGCAGGAGAATTACAACTAGAAGTGGAGCCGGGCGCGGTGGCTCACGCCTGTAATCCCAGCACTTTGGGAGGCTGAGGTGGGCAGATCACCTGAGGTCGGGAGTTCGAGACCAGCCTGACCAACATGAAGAAACCCTGTCTCTACTAAAAATACAAAACTAGCCAGGCATGGTGGCACATGCCTGTAATCCCAGCTACTTGGGAGGCTGAGGCAGGAGACTCACTTGAAACTGGGAGGCGGAGGCTGAGGTAAGCCGAGATTGCGCCATTGCACTCCAGCCTGGGTAACAAGAGCGAAACTCCATGTCAAAAAAAAAAAAAAAAAAAAAAGGATTAGAAGTGGACTCAAGATGTGACTGAATTCCTGCAATCTCATGATAAAACTTGAATGAATGAGGAACTGCTTCTTACGGATGCGCAAAAAAAGTGATTCTTGAAATGGAATGTATTCCCAGTGAAGATGCTGTCAACACTGTCCAAATTACAATGAAGGATTTAGAAGATTTTATAAACTTAGTTGATAAAGCAGCATCAGAAGATTGACTGCAATTTAGAAAGAAGTTCTATGGTGGGTAAAATGTTATGAAACAGCACCACAGGCTACAGGGAAATCTTCTATGAAATAAGAGTCCACTGATGTGGCAAACTTTATTGCTGTCTTAAGAAATTTCCACATCCACTCCAACCTTTAGCAACTATCACCCTGATCAGTCAGCAGCCATCAACACAGAGGCAAGACCCTCCACTAGTCAAAAGATTACGACTCTAAAGGCTCAGATGACTGTTAGTACTTGTGAGCAATGAAGTGCTTTTTAATTATGTACTTTTTTTAGACAATGCTATTGCACACTTGAGTATAGTGTAAACACAACTTTTAAATGTAATAGGGAAACAAAAAAATTGTGTGACTTCCTTTCTTGTGATATTTACTTTATTGGGATGTCGGGAACTGAACCCACAGGATCTTTGAGGTACGCCTGTATTAAGAGAAGTCCATTCACAGGATATGTTCCCTCAATTTGTGGTATGAAAACTTAAAAAGACACAGTGATCAGTTGGAGTGTATCTACAAAGACACGGCTGAGAAAACTGGAGGTGTTTGATTTGGAGAATTAAGATGTTAGTTGGTTCATGACAGTGTTGAGAGGAACACCGGGGCCAGTGAGTGAAAATTATAGCATTATCATTAGAGCCATTCTGTTCAACCAGAAGGTTCCAAGACCTAAACAGCACCGTAAGAGGCTACTGGACATTGTAAGAGAGGAGAACTCTGTCTTCAGATTGTGTTGCAGAAGAATATGCGGCCACTCAGAGCATTTAAGGAGAGTTGGTTAAACTACTAATGTGGGAACAATAGTCAGCCAGAAGTGCCAAAGAGATAATAACAGCTACAACCATCTGGTTGTTAATAACAAATTTTTTAAAATACACATAAGTATGCAGAAAACTGCACAGCAGTGACTTGCTCTCTGCGAAATATGACACGCAAGGGGTTCCCCGAATTAGGAAACACTAGACTGTAACATATAAAGTCCATTCTGACCCTTAGAGTCTGTGATTTCATTGTATTAATAGCCAAGCTAATCAATTCTGCTTCAGCATAGCATTCAAGGTTCAGATTGTTTTGAATTACAATGCATAAATGATGTCTCCTCTGCTCTCATGGTGTATGTTAGAATCTGTAAGATGCAATCCTATACTGCCATGGAGTTAAATCCTTTAATAGTACCTGATTAAAAATTTTCCTCTCTTTCACTGTTCATCACTTGGGTAAGAGGAGTGGAGGTGTCTGTGTGAAAATGAGGCTAATATGTATTCCAGAAAACTCAAAGAGAATAGGAATAACTCAAAATATGTGATGATTCATTGTAGAAAGTCATTTTTTTAAAAACAGAAATGCTCCTATAAAGTCAGTAATATGGTCTAATCATACTTCCTGCCATGATCTGTGTTCACTATCTACTGGTAGGATGGAATATACTTACTCAATTTCCATGTCTTCACACTCATTCTTTGCCTTAATGATAAAGGAACTGACTTAAAAATAGAGCCTAAGAAACAGATAAAAACCTCTCTTTGGGAAGCTCAGAATCGTAGAAAAGGAAGAATCTAGAATAAGTAGAAAAGAGAGGCTGGGTGCAGTGGCTCACACCTGTAATCCCAGAACTCTGAAAGGCCAAGGTGGAAGGACCACTTGAGCCCAGGAGTTCAAGACCAGCCTGGCCAACATAGTGAGACCCTGTCTCTAATTAAGTAGGAAAGGGAAAAGAACAGGGAGCAGAGAGAGAACATGGGCTAAATGGAAAATGATGCTAATTTCAATTATTTTGATACCTAAGCTGGGAGGCAGTTTACAGAGTACAGTTCTTTTCACATGTCTGAGATGGGAATCTGTTACATGTGAAGCTTCCAGTCAGTGGCAGATGCTGTCAAGGAAAGACGCTGGACTGGACTTGCTTGCTGTGAGCCATGTTTTACCGGGAATGTGTGAATGAATTTCCCTGCTCTATCGGCTTCTTTGGGCTTCACGCAGTCCAGTCACCACTCTTCTTAGAAGAAGTGGTGGAACTGTGGGGCCCTCTTCCTATCTTCAGTCTCTTGCCAGGGCCTTGCACTGGAGGCATCCTGGAGGAACTGGAAGCTCAGGAAGCCAGAGGATGCCAGCTGAGGGACACAGAAGGCAGAGGATGGGGTGGGCAGGGGCTAAGTGCAGAGTCACCAGTTCATTTCCTAGATGGATGGGGGAACAGTGGCAAAGGCAGTGAGTCAATTGTGGTATCAATTTCCTTTTCTGTAAACTGTCAATACTAAAACTCCTCTCCCTATATAAAAAAAATACCAGTGTGAATCAACTGGAGTTATGCCTGAATGTTTGTAAAAACTTCCCACAATGCTACGTATCTGTCATTTTTTATTTTTCAGTTGTTTACCTATTTGCTATTTGGGAGAGAGTTTTGAGGAGAGCAAAAAGCATAATCTAAAGGAATGGATAAAATACTAACTTTAAGAGAGAGAATAATTGTGTTCAGCTTCTTCTTTGATGTGCCACGTGGACATTTTTTAAAACTGATAGCCTATATAATGATTAAGTGGTGATGCTGACTGTGAGAAAGACTACTAGATCACTATGTTCCCAACATTTTAAAAGCTCAAATACTTCACTGGTTTCTCAAGTTTCTCTCTTTCTCAAGAGAGAGAGAATACATTCCGCCTAGAAGGAGGGAACTGGACTTGAGAGGTACACAGGATGAATGAGTACGAAAGGCTCCCGAGGTAAGTGGCCGGCGCTTTATGGACTCTCACTGGCTCACAGGTGAGAAGCCCTGCAGAGCGGTACCTGTATGTGTCCTCCGGTGAGCCTTCAGGTGAGAACTTTTTGTGTACACTTTGTTGCATCCCTCAAAATCACATCTGTGGATACGCCGTTTTCTGGAGTCTGGGGATTCAGACCGTCTCTGGCGTCTTGTGCTCTCAATACTAAATGGTGAAATTGAACTGGAAAAAGAAAAAGTGGAGTTACACGGTGAGATGCACACCGCCCCATTTTGGTTCTGGTGGCATGGGAACATTGTCTCAGACACTACAGCTTCACAGACTCAAGGCCACCATGACCACAGTTCTTGCTACCACTATCTTGGGCAGATCTCACTTTTCGAAACCTGAAAGGCAGGCAGCATGAGTTATTTCCGGCAAAACACTCCAAGGGAGAGAAAGACATGCTTCAAACAACAATAACAAAAACTGAAAGTAAATGAAAGCAGTGGTAGGTGAGTATTTCCTCATTATCAGAAGAAACAATCTGGTAGGGGTAAATTACCATCTCACAGTTTTGAATTTCTGAATATCCTGATAGAGAATATTTTAAGAAGGCTTGCTATAGACAAATGACAAAATGATACATTTAATAAGTAACAAGAGGGTCTGCACTGCATGTGACAACATAGAAACTCCTGTAAAATCACAAGGTACATTTCTAAACAAGGGAGTCAGGCTGAAAGAAATGACATCAGTAACATGAATCATGACAAGCTATTTCTGTTTGGTGAAACGCACCTGACATTTAACTTTTCTAGTTGGAGTTTCTTTGTGGTGAGGAATAACGTGCATTGTCTTTAAAGATTAGCTGTACCACCATTATAAAAAAAAGTTTTAACTAAGAAATTTGGCCCTAACTTGCATATTGTTTAATCTGAATGCCCCAGTAGAAAAACAGGATTAGTTTATAATGTCAGGTAATTGACTAACATGTACTTAAAAAAATCTTAATCTCTTTTGATTGAGACAGAAATAATATGACTCATCTTTTTTAGTACCATGACATTCTTTAAAATTACAGTGAGATATGATAAAAAAGCAGTCACTCATATTTCTACTCTACAAAATGTACTACAGTTAATATTTTGACATATTTTCTTCCAGCTTGTTCACATTTTGATGCTTTTAAAAATTAGTTTTTATTGGTAAATCACCTCTTTTAAAAGTTGAACATTACTGATAAAGATCAATTCCCCCCTTGTTTTCCACCATTATCCTGGTCCTTTCTCCTCCTTCCAGGGAAGAGCCTCTATCCTGAGTTTTCTTTACCTCTTTCCAATTCTTTTAAATTATGTCTACCTATACAAATCTGCATTTACAGACATTCATTTTTTTTGTGTGTTTTTTAAGTCATATGAATAATATCATGCTGTTTATATCATTCTGCAAATTGTTTTATTCCTTTTTTTAATTCAACATTTAACATTTGAGATTCATCCATGTCGATATAAATGCCATAATTCATTTATTTGAAGTGCTATATACTTATAACTTACCAATTTTAAGATCTATTTTTAAAATATTTTAACCATCTCCAAAATCAGAATGCTTCTTAAAATTGATGGCTTATTACAGTTTTACTGGCATAACTTTTTTTATTAGTGGTACATAAAGTAACGGTGCATTTTACAATTGAAGACATTTTAACTTAGATCGGGGGTCAGTGAACTTTTGCTGTAAAGGGCTAGATAGTAAATATTTTATTTCAACACCGAGGGCCACACAGTCTTATGTTGTAGCTAATCAATTCTGCAACTGTATCATGAAAGCAGCTATAGATTATATATAAACAAATGAATGTCGTTATGTTCCAATGAAACTTTGTTTACAGAAACAGTGGGCTGGCCAGGCACAGTGGCTCAAGCCTGTAATCCCAGCACTTTGGGAAGCTGAGGCAGGAGAACTGCTTGAGCCCAAGAATCTGAGACCAACCTAGGCAAGAAGGAGAGACCCTATCTCTACAAAACAAATAAACAAACCAAAAAACAGTGGGCTGTATTCTGTCCTTGAGCTGTAGCTTGCCAACTATGGAATTAGATGAAACATGGCAGGAGTCCAGTGAATATTCATTGCCATTTCCCAAGTGACGGACATATAGACTACTTGTAATTTGCACTTTCATATTGCTCCAGTGAATTTTTTCTGAAAGTCTCTTTCTGCACACGTGTCTTCAGATTTCAGTGTACCTTCTCCCTTTTACTAATAAATTAGGCAAACAAAGCTTTCTGTTAGGTAAGGTCAAATATAAACAACATTTATCTACCTGTGTCTCAAACAGTTTTATGCAAGATCTACCACAGTAGAATGAAAGAACATATGTTATGTATGGCCAAGCCACTTTTTTCAGCTTTCTTATCAATGTGGATCTGTGGTTTTCCACATAATTGACTCACAGTTGCAGGGATCGGAGTCTATCGTGAAAGGAGTCAAAACAGTGTGACTGGCCTGCCTCATGTAAGAACAGCTGTAGTTACTCCTGACAAGGTATATTTTTATCACTGGGTTTGAGTCCCATGAACAAGTAAGACTGTGTGGTGATAACAGAGCAACAGTAATTCATTTCTGGAATATGTAGTTATGAAAATAAATATTGATCTTGGCACTTCCTTTTATTTCCTGAAAAAAAGGAAGTCATTCATAGTGTTGTACAATGTTTAACATCTTTTAAAAGTGAGAAAATGATAGAGTATTTGTTTTCTGCAAGTTATAACTTAAAGTCTATAAGAACACTTTGTTTTGTGTAATATTTTCCACACATGAATATAAAGAAGTCTAAATGTAACTATGCATAAACACACACATACAGGTTTTTGCTGAGTTCCATTGATTTTAGCTATTTATCTTGCTATCTGTATATAAGGAGAAACGTAAAAAAAAGAAAAGCCAACCAAAAAAACCCTGAAATCAGAATTCAGTCAATAATGAATGTTTCTTTAGGGACCAATGAAGTAATCGGGCAACACAGCCCATCAACCACTTAAATATAGGGCAGGCAGAGAAACAAAAACAAAGGCTACAGAAGGCCATGAAATTGCTTCACTGTGAGTTCTGAATTTACATCAAAATGAAGACAAGTGGATTGTCTATAGGACCTCAGCCCTGGTTTTCCTCATTCTACAGTGAAACGTGGGCCAGGTGTGGTGGCTCATGCCTGTAATCCCAGCACGTAGGGAAGCTGACACAGGTGGATCGCTTAGCTCAGAAGCTCAAGACCAGCCTGGGCCAACATGGTGAAACTCCGTCTCTACCAAAACACACAAAAATTAGCTGGACGTGGTGGCTCACACCAGTAATCCCAGCACTTTGTGAAGCTGATGTAGGTAGATCCCTTGAGCTCAGGAGTTCAAGACCAGCCAGGGCAACATGGTGAAACCCTGTCTCTACAAAAACATACAAAAATTAGCTGGGCGTGGTGGCATGTGCCTGTAGTCCCAGCTACTTGGGAGGCTGAGGTGAGAGGATTGCTTAGGCTGGGGAGGTGGAGGTTGCAGTGAGCCAAGATCATGCCACTGCACTCCAATCTGGGTGAAAGAGCGAGACCTGTCTCAAAAAAAGAGTTAACTGAAATGTTTTAGAACATTATAAAGAACAAATACCTAAAGGTATCTGTACAATAAAAATAATTTTTTAAAAGGATATACGCAATGAATAGTTGTACCCAGTAAAGCTGGCTTTCAAATGACATTCAATGGGTAGATTTTCTCCTTGGTTCCCCTTTCTAAATGGCAGAGATATCTTCAGATGTCAAAGAATCCTTGGCTAAGCCTATGCCTTTCAGAACTGCTGATTTGATCTTTTTGTGGAAAGGTAGGAAGGTAAGTGAAGCTGAGGTAACAGGGAACCAGAAGTGCAGAAGAACCTGAAGAACACAGGAAGGTGATAGGACAGTCCAAGCTCCAAGAGTGCTGCGTTGTGTTGGGATCCCCAGCATATATCCACAGTCGGCGGGCACTGCAAGTGGACGACAACCGTGGACTGGGGGTTTGTCTGAACCAAGTCCATGGCTGGAAAGGTGACAGTCGAGTTACTGGTACCAAGTAATTTTGTATTTCCAGAACCTAGGACATTGTGGGCATTCAAAAAAAAAAAAAAGTTTGCTAAATAGAATAAATGAATGCATTAAGCCTGGTATTCCTGATTTTTAATTTTATAAGTAATTTATTAATTCTTAATTGGTTAATTCTTACCAGGATACTTTGATTCCAAGTCTTCAGACAATGGGCACTCAATTCCACACTCCTACGCCCATTTCCCCGAGTTGCTTTTTTTTTTTGAGATAGGGTCTTGCTCTGTCATCTAGACTGGTGGCCTAGGTGGCACGATCATAGCTCACTGTAATCTTGAACTCCTGGACTCTAGTGATCCTCCCCCTCAGCCTCCTGAGTAGCTAGGATTACAGGTACATGCCACCATGCCTGGCTAACGTTTTAATTTTTTGTGGAGACGGGGTTTTGTTATGTTGCCCAGGCTTATCTTGAACTCCTGGCTTCACGTGATCCTGCCTCAGTCTCCCAAAGTGCTGGGATTACAGACATAAACCACCATGCCCGGCCAAGTTTCATATTTTCAATGCTACACAAAGTGGCTAGTGAATATCTGGGAATCTGGGTAACCATTAAAAACACATAGATATAAATGTCTCAATTATTTCCTCTAAGTTCAAGAGCAGTGTGTTCTAAAGTATTGCTTACAATTAAATTTCTCAGTGGGAGGCCACCGATAAATGTGTAGGATGCTGGTGAATGAAATAACAAAAGTCTTTCTTTTGACCCTAACAGGCATTTAGATAAGCTGGAAAAAGTGAGAGAAAGACCCTTACTCCTGGCAATATTATCTTGCCCCATCTCACTCGAGGGCTGTCCATAAGAAGGGGTGTTAGGTAACAGAACAGCTGGGTGTTTTCACTCTGCCTTACCTATGCTTTCTGAGCAACATGCCCTTTGTTCAGAAGGCACCTGAAGAATCCTCACAGGTATATGCAACCTGACTTCTGTGCTTCAAAAACTGGCCTTTTTATAAAGAATGGGAATGTGCAAGTAACTACTGCATACACCAGTAGAGCATTCTTTGCATAATCATTAGTAATAAGCTTGGTATGATGAAAATGGTAGAGGTAAAACACTTGTAACTGTGTTCCCAAATCCCGTACTAAATATATCTGTACAGCCCCAAAGAATAATAACTAAAGGCCCACTTCTTTCCCCAGAAGGTTAGACCATTTAGAGTAGTGAATGAACACCTGAGGGGGCCTCACAGGTACCACGTTGTAATAATTAGATCTAGAGAGAACAAATGAGTGAATCATGACTTTGGTTGCACAATAGTCCCACTTGGAATGGCAAGTTAAATTAGAATTAAACCCAGAGAGGCTCAAAAAGTCACATCCAAGAACAGCTCTATTTAAATGGAAGGCGCCACATGGCTGCCATGAAAGAAATTAGGGATAACTGTAATCAGCCGGTAATAAAAGACCACTCGTCATGTGTGACCTTAGCATGATGAGATGTCCTTCACTGAAACTGGAGTTTTTACAGGAGTTAAAAAAAAATTAAAAAGGCCAGGACAATCTTTCAAGCCTGGAAAGAAGACATACACATCCCAGATTTAAAAACCAGAGCAGAAAACACTGGAATTGAAGGAGCTTTAGTAAATTCACACACGCAATCACAACAGAATTCCAAGGGCCACAGCTGAGGATAACAATGATATTTACAGAATGCTTAGTGGGTGTCAGGCACCGACCTAAATGCCTTAAGCTTCAGAGCAACCCTCTGAGATTGACACTACTATCCCTGTACACTGTATCCCTCTTTTACAGATGAGGAAACTGAGGCACAGAGAGGTTAAGGCCAAGGCCAAGACAAAGTCTGCGGCTACACTAAAACTCAGACCTGAGTGGTTGATTCCAGAACTCAATTTTAATTACAATGTTATGCTTATTCAGATGAAGATACAGGTATTACAAACCAACATATGATAGAAGGGGAAAAAGCAACAAAATATCTATAGCATTTAAATTTCCCCTTTAACCCAATTATATAAAACAACAGCACACATAAGTGTTATTGAATATAGCCTGCAACGATAAGACATATACTTTTCTCTGGAGAATTTTAAAAAGGTAAACCGTTCTGTAAGTACTGTCAGATGGGCATTCAGTACACTTACTATTAATCTACCAAAGAAAGTATTTTCTTTTCTCTCCTTTCATCTTGTTTTTAAAAAGAGACAAGAACTCATTCTGTTGCCCAAGCTGCAGTGCAGTGGTAGAATCATAGCTCACCGGAGCCTCAAACTCCTGGACTCAAACAATCCTTCCGCCTCAGCCTCCTGGGAACTAGGACTACAGGTGCATGCCACCATGCCTAGTTAATTTTTTTTTTTTTTGGTAGAGAAAGGGTCTTGCTGTGTTGTCCTAGCCTGTCTTGAACTCCTGGCCTCAAGTGATCCTCCCACTTCGGCGTCCCAGTGTTGGGATTATAGGTATGAGACACTATGCCTACCCAGTACATATTTTCTTAAAGTTGTTATAAACTATGTATTTCCAAGGGAAATGTTTTTTAAAGGCTGAGTTTGGCAGTGGTATATGCTAATGTCTTCCTTGACCATTAATGCCACAAAATTAGTCCCTTCCCTGACATTCCACTTTATTTACAATTGTACCAAAAAGAATTGAGTTGGTTGCACGATAGAATTACCTTAAGGGAAGTGGGAGCATTCAGTTTACAAAGTATATTTTGTACTGTTTCTAAGGTTTCATATTATTTAAAATAAGACATTGAACATCACCTACAGAATTCTGAATTAACTTCTGCCACAGAATACCTGTAGGTAGAATGACTTCTTTGTTAGTGAATCAAACACCACCCTGGGAATGAATCATCAAGACCACAAGCAGAGCAAGAGTGGATGAGACTTTCAGTTAATCAGGATTTACATAAATCTCAGTAAGACAGATTCTATTCACATGAACAAGCCAGATATCTGCATTTCTTTGTAGGCTTTCCCTTAACCAGCAGATGGCTCTCAGAGGCAGGAATCTTCATATTTATCTTCCATACTACAACAGACTCTAGTGCCTGTCAAACCATGTCAATGTCTCTCCTATGATATTAATTAGGGAAAAAGCAGTGTTTAGATACATTTACTACCAAATCCCCAGCAGCTACATTCGGAGGTGGAGCAGATTCACAGGCATCAAGTTCCTCTCTCACTCCTGTCTGTAGCATTTCACAGAAAACTACTTTTGAACAGATTGAAATTGTAAGATTAGTAGTTGCCACCCTTTTCAGAAGCTGTGACTGAGACATTATATCATGTTCTAATTTGGATTCAATAAAAACGTTTTCACAAAATGTATAAATCAAGAGAAATACGTTTGCTAAAATGCGTCAAAAAGCTCAATCTTAACATCTATTCAAACTAGCGTTTGGCAAGTTTTCCATATGAACAGAATGCGTCTAAAATGCATATTTAATTATTGTTTTACTTTAATAAACAAAGTTTCCTACTAAACTAATTAAAAGATAATGGTTTACAAATGAGCCTTTTGGGCGCCCAAGGGGTGCCCTGGGGATGGATTCACAGTATTTCATGATTTTACTTAAATATAACAGCAGCCACTAAGTATTTTTCCACATCACTTTCTAGACCGTTAAAAAACTTAAAAGTATGACAAGCTTTCTGTTCTTTTTGTTTCAACATATTTCAGCAAGCAAGATCATAAGCTGTATTAGGCAAAATGTTTAAAGAGAATCAAAATAGAAAAAAACGAATCATTAACAGTCTGTTCTGGTTGGCTATATTATCAAACTTTTATGATGAAATTAGACTACAAGTTGAAAGAGGATTGTTGGCTAACAAAAAAATGCCTATTTCAGATATAGAGTATCTATTCAAAATAGCTACTCTGTGGGGAATGTCCTATGCATTGCGAAGACTTTATCCCATGAGATCAATTAATAATGTAGGATGAAACGAGGGTTCTGAAACAGGTATGGATTTCTGGATTATACTAGACATACCCACTGAATGGAAGACACATAACATACTTAAATATTTAGAGGGATTTTCCCACAGAATTTCTTCAGAAAATACCGGGGTTTAAATTATGTTTTATGCCAGAAGTGATAGCTTGGTGGATTACATAAACCTTAAAAAAAAAAACTTTCTAGGTCAGAATAGGATTAATTATTTTAATCGGAATGCCTTAAGGGTAAGCCCTGCCCTCCTCATTCTGGCATGGGCCCAACCCATGCCCTATTGCTTTATGAGAACAGCACTTTATCTTATCCATGTGGCTCTTGAACACATCTGATTTGGGGACTCTCTAGAATCATGCTAAATTTTAAAAATAAGTTATCCTTATTTGACTACAGTTAAACTTTAAGCTACTCAAGAGTGAAGAGTCTTATACATGTCTATTTATGTGACCGACAAACATGAAAAAAAGCTCATCATCACTGGTCATTAGAGAAATGCAAATCAAAACCACAATTAGATACCATCTCATGCCAGTTGGAATGGCGATCATTAAAAAGTCAGGAAACAGATGCTGGAGAGGATGCGGAGAAATAGGAACACTACACTGTTGGTGGGAGTGCAAATTAGTTCAACCATCGGGGAAGACAGTGTGGTGATTACTCAAGGATCTAGAACCAGAACTACCATTTGACCCAGCAATACCATTTCTGGGTATATACCCAAAGGATTATAAATCATTCTACTATAAAGACACATGCACACGTTATGTTTACTGCAGCTCTATTTACAATAGCAGAGACTTGGAACCAACCCAAATGCCCACCAATGATAGACTGGAAAAAGAAAATGTGGCACATATACACCATGGAATACTATGCAGCCATAAAAAAATGAGTTAATGTCCTTTGCAGGGACATGGGTGAAGCTATAAACCATCATTCTCAGCAAACTAACACAGGAACAGAAAACTGAACACTGCATGTTCTCAGTCATAAGTGGGAGTTGAACAATGAGAACACATAGACACAGGGAGGGGAACATCACACCTGGGGCCTGATGTAGTACTTAAGTTAACATGAATTATTGAAAGTTTTTATTGCTTGGGTAGGATTATATAAATCAGACCAAGTAGAACTCATTGGTAGTTTTCCACTTGAGTCTGTGTTACCAGAATGACTGTCTGAGGCCACATGTAGGGATTTTTCTCATCATAAGATGTCCAGGTATTTGAATTCTGGAGGAAAAGAAAAATCTTCCCACCTGAGACAGATAATATTTTACCCGCTTTTGATTTTGTTCCTGAAAATTTTCCTTACTCTTTGAATACTCTGTGAAATTAACACTGGAAAAGTAGAGAGGTATACCAATATGACTCAAATTCATATCTTAAAGACATTTAGAAGATGAGAAAACTAAGGCTCAGAAAGATTAGACTAATTACTGCTCGAAGCTCACACAGCTAAACAGGGGCAGTTAGAGCTAAACAGTGGGTTTCTTGACCCCTAGAGCTAAGACTTTTCCGCTTTCCAATGATGTTGTAGAAAGATCTGTGTGGTACTTTTACTTAGTAGGAAGGAAAATCTGCTTGGCAACACTGATATTCTTTCTTTTTACATCAGATAGTTAGAACTACACACTTACGCTATTTCCTTTTTTTTGCTTTGGCTGCTAGAAAACTCGGATACAATAGCCTAGGATTGGTTGTGGCTTATTTGCCACTCTAATTATAAGATTTGAAACACAAAACTACAAGGTTTTAATTTTATATAGTATTTTATTTTTTATTTTTTTGAGACGGAGTCTTGCTCTGTTGCCAAGCTGGAGTGCAGTGGTGCAATCTCAGCTCACTGCAACCTCCACCTCCTGGGTTCAAGCTATTCTCCTGACTCAGTCTCCTGAGTAGCTGGAACTACAGGCGCCCGCCACCACACCCAGCTAATTTTTGTATGTTTAGTAGAGACGGGGGTTTCACCATGTTCGCCAGCATGGTCTTGATCTCTTGACCTCGTGATCTGCCTGCCTTGGCCTCCCAAAGTGCTGGGATTACAGGCGTGAGCCATCACGCCGGGCCAGTAATTTTTTAAATGTAGGTATTATGAAATATTTTCTGAACTAAGGAAACTTATAATGATAAACAAGAAAACAAAAACAAAAAAATAGAATATGCTTCTCTTTAAAATGGAGAAAACTATGTGATAGTCAAACCTGGGTTTTAATTTGGAGACTTCTAAAGTTCTGTGATCAATAAGCTCATAATATCTTTAAGGAAAAAAAAAAAGACAAAATAAGGATTTTGATTTTTGTGGTGGAAGCTCCTTGTACTAATAGCCTCATTCTCTTGGTCAAATATCACTATTCCATTTATAGGACTTAACATGCTAATTAAAATAACATAGGACTTGTAGTCTGAAAATACAAACATGAATTACAGCTATTATAACTTGTTAGCTATGGTATCTTGGGCATTTAAACTCTTGGAGTTTTAGATTCCCATATTTCAAAATGTATTTATTTATTTATTTATTTATTTATTTATTTATTTATTTATTTATTTTTTGAGATGGAGTTTCACTCTTGTTACCCAGGCTGGAGTGCAATGGTGCTATCTCGGCTCACTGCAACCTCCACCTCCTAGGTCCAAGCGATTCTCCTGCCTCAGCCTCCCAAGTAGCTGGGGTTACAGGCATGTGCCACCATGCCCAGCTAATTTTGTATTGTTTTTAGTAAAGACGGGGTTTCTCCATGACCTCCCAACCTCAGGTGATCCGCCCGCCTCGGCCTCCCAAAGTGCTGGGATTATAGGCGTGAGTAACCGTGCCCAGCTTCAAGTGGGTTTTTAATAGTAATTACTGAATGGAGTTTTCATGAAAATTAGTTTAGAGTAAGGTAAAGCTGACCCAATGTCCAATACATCCCCAGCACTTCTTAATATTATGTTCCTTCTTTCTTTTGTGGCTAATAACTTTACTCACACATCATGAAGTCATCCTTATAAAGTGTACAATTCAATGGCATTCAGTACACTCATATTGTTATACAATCATTACTTCTATCTGACTCCAAAACATTTTCATCACCCCAAAAGAAAACCCCATACTCATTAGCATCCATTCTGCCTTCCTCCTAGTCCTTGGCAAGGACTAATCTACTTTCTAAGAATTTGTCTATTCTGGACATTTAATAGAAATGGCATCATATAATGCATGGCCTTTTGTGTCTGCCTTCTTTCACTGAGCATAAAGTCATCAGGGCTCATCCACATTGTAGCATGCATCAATACTTCACTCATTTTATAGTCAAATAATATTCCATTTATGGATAGATCACATTTACTTTATGGACATCACATTTAGTTTATTTAGTTGATGGACATTTGGGTTGATTCCACTTTTTGGCTATTATGAATAACACTGCTATAAACATTGTGAACAGTTTTTGTGTAGACATATGTTTTCAGATCTCTTGGTTACATACCTAAGAGTAGAATTATTAGGTCATACGATAATTCTATGCTTAGCATTTTAAGGAATTGCCAGACTGTTTCCTAAAGTGGTTGTACCATTTTATAATTTAACCAGTATTGTGAGAAAGATCCAATTTTTCCACATCCTCACCAACGCATAATGTCAGTCTTTTTAATTTCAGCAATCCTAGAGGTTGTAAAGTTGTACCTCACTGTAGTTTTGATGAGCATTTCCCTAATGACTAATGATGTTGAGAATTTTTTCCTGTGCTCATGGGCCATTTGTATACCTTCTCTGGAGAAATGTTTGACCATTTGTAAACTGTTTTGTTTTTTTATTGCTGAGTTGTAAGATTTCTTTATATATTCTGGATGCAAGTCCCTTATCAGATATATAATTCTCAAATATTTTGAAGTTCGATTTAGTTCACTTTATTATTTTTTGTGATAAATATTTGGTGCTGTAAGATGGCTTGGACTAACATAAAGTCTCAAAGATTTACTCCTATGTTTTAAGACTTTTATAGCTTTGACTCTTACATTTAGATACATGATCAATTGTTGAGTTCATTTTTGCGTATGGTATAAGAAAGGAAGGAGTCCAATTTCATTCTTTTGCATGGGGATATTCAGTTATCCCAGCAACATTTGTTGAAAAGATTATTCTTTCCTCAGTGAATTGTCTTGACACCACTGACAAAACCAATTTACCATAAATGTAAGGGTTGATTCCTGGATTCTTACTTCTATTCCATGGATTTGTCTATGTATAATTATCTCAGTACCACAATGTCTTAATTTTATAGCTTTAGGATCAGTTTTTAAATTGGAAAACATTATTCCTCCCAATTTATTCTCCCCCCTCAGATTGTTCTCACATAAAATTAAGAATCATCTCATCAATTTCTTTCTTTTTTTTTTTTTGAGATGGAGTCTCACTCTGTGGCCCAGGCTGCAGTGCAGTGGCGTGATCTTGGCTCACTGCAACCTCCGTCTCCCGGGTTCAAGTGATTCTCCTGCCTCGGTCTCCTGAGTACCTGGGATTACAGACGTGCAACACCATGCCTGGCTAATTTTTGTATTTTAGTAGAGACAAGGTTTCACCATGTTGGCCAGGCTGGTTTCGTACTCCTGACCTCAGGTGATCCACCCGCCTCGGCCTCCCAAAGTGCTGGGATTACAGGCGTGTGCCGCCGTGGCCAGCCATCATCGATTTCTGTAAAAGAAAATGCAGCTGAAATTTGGATGAAAACCAAATTGTAGACTGCTGCCATCTTACCAACATTATGTCTTTCAAACCATGAATATAGGACATCTTTCCGTTTAATTAAAAAAATTTTTTTAACCATGTTTTGTAGTTTTCAACGTTCAAGCCTTACATATCTTTTGTTAAATATGTTCATAGGTATTTTCTTCTTTTTCATGCTATTGTAAATGAAATCGTTTTCTTAAATTAATTTTTAGATTGTCCACTGTTAGTATACAGAAATGCAATGAATGTTTGTTTATTCATCTTGTGTCCTGTAACCTTGTTAAACTCATTTATTAGCTCTAATACTTTTTGGGAGGCGCCCTTTAGATTTCCTATATACAAGATCATGTCAACTGCAAATAGAGATAGCTTTACTTCTTCCTTTCTAATCTACATTTCTTTTTCTTAATTGCCTCGGCTAGAATGTTGAGTGAAAGTCCTGTATGGACATCTTGTCTTGCTACTGATCTTAGGGTTAGGTGCTCAGTCTTCTACCATTAAGTATGTTAGACATGAGTTTTTCATAGATGCATTTTATCTGAGGATACTGCCACCTATTCCTAGTGTACTGAGTGTTTTCATTACAAAAGGATGTTGGATTTTGTCAAATGCCTTTTCTGTGTCTATCAAGATAAACGTGGTTTTCTCTATTAATGTGGTGTATTACATTGATTTCCACATGTCAAATCAGCCTCGTTTCTGGGGTAAGTCCCCCTTCTCATGGTAGGTAATCCTTTTTATATGTTGCTGGACTCAGTTTGCTTGTAATTTGTTGAAGGCTTTTGAGTCTCCACCCATAAGGGATACTGGCATGTAGTTTTCTTGTGAGGTCTTTGTCTGGTTTTGGTTATTAGGATAATGCTGGTATCAAAGAATAAGTTAGCAAGAGTTCTGGGCTTCTCATTAACCTTGGGCTTCATGGCACCATGTTTACACTAAGATCCATTCCTTACTATGTCAACTGTTCCCATTTGCTGATATTTGTAACCTCAGTTCTGCTTTTAGTCCACTTTGGCAGAGCTGCTCTTTATTATATTTTTATGCTATCAGCCCTGCTCTTACCTAGAACTTTTCATATCACTAAAGTTTCACGGCCATGATGTCCACTGAATACACAGACCTGGCCCATCCCTATTTACCTGTGAAGAAAGATCAAACAAGAACTTTGCAAGTTTTAAAGTATCATGTGTTATTTACTTTCCCAGATTCACTCTTCTGCATTATTGGCCACACACTGTCTAAAGTTCTCAGGATCTGAGCATATTGCTAGGTATTTCTGTTCAAATCTCAAAGTGAACTGTACTGTTTACAATACTCTCAGTGTATACTGTAAAATACTGCATGGTATAATAATGGCTTCTATAGCACCAAACATAAGCTTAGAAGATTGTCAGAAAAAGTACTTGACAGCAGGCAGGGTAGGTACTGTTACTGGCAATCTTACAGCTGAGAAATAGGTGAGGAAAGCATAGCCTGGAGTGGTTAATTGCTAAGGAATGATAAATCTGAGAGCTCTTGTCTCTACTCCTCTTCCTACATTTCATCTTTCCAAAATCTTAAAAATGTCAAGATGATAATGTTAAACCTCCTGTACCATATTTATTGATGATTAAATATTATATGCACTGTTGGTTTTTTAACATGGCTTTTTCCTGCTGAGAAAATCAGTAACATGAGAGTAGTAGATTAGTAGCAGTCAGCTGTGTAGGTATTTTTCATCTTAACAGTAGTGACTCAATAAAATACAATAACAATTATTTTCTGTAAGTTCACCATAGGGAAGCAAGTGAACACGCAAAGGCATCCTTAGCAACTTGATAATCTAGTAAAGTGTAGAACGTGGACAGCTCTCCACCTCAAATGAATGAAAAATGACTCAAATTTTTGCTCAAATCTACGACATGTGGAAGTGTAAAGCCTCCTTCCCAGCCCCCTCCAGGATGTATGTACATTTCTGGGACTTTAGTTCTCAGAACGACCTTGGCCTCTAGCATCAAGTTAGCACCTTCTTCAAGAGCACCTTCTTCAAAAACTACATAAACCCATCTGAGGGTCTAGTAAGCCCTCTCTCCAAAGACAGATGCCGAGGGACTCCTGGAGCTTCACTATCTTTGCCCGGTGCTCCTTCTGTCTGTAAAATGCTCTTGACTGCCTCTGTGCTGCTCACTGGTCTCACCCAGCCTCAGGCTCTTTGCATCTTGCTGGGGAGCTCTCAGCTCTCTTCTCTGATTTCTTACTCCACCCCCATCTCAACTGTACGCAAAAGAAGAACAACAGCTTCATTCCTTTGGCAAAAGTATAACAGCTTTGCCCTCCAAAAACCTTGGTGGCAGGTTATATCCAGGTCCCTGGCTAGGAAGTACGGGCAGGGCTCAGCTCATAGTTTACCTCCAAGCCTTTCAGAGGGCACGTTTTCCACACCAAGAATTTTGTTCTGGAGGAATCTGGTGCCAGCTACTAAGATGACAAAAACTCCCCCCAACTTATTATATATGTAAATAATAATTATATCAGGCAAAAAATGATATGTGATAAAGAGAGGTGTAATGAAGTGTTATGGGAGTCAAGGGAGGGGGTGTCTGATTCTGTTTGGAAAGTCAGGGCAAGCTTAATAGAGGACACCAACAAATAAGTCTTGAAGAATACTGGTATGTGGATGTGTCGGTGGTAAAGAGAAGGCGGAAGAGAGAATTTATAATTATGGAGATAAAATAGCTCACAGTTAATCTTAATACCAAATTGTCTAACAAACAGGGTTCCTAATGGGTGGGTGGGCAGAAGAGGATGATATAGGGCAGACAGGATGACCAGGGCCACGTATGACAGACTGAATGTTTCCTTACAAGAAGTTCAATGTGTAGGTCCTGGAAGTGCCATGATTTTGTTTTGTTCTGTTTCGTTTTTTTAGTTTTAGAAGGAAAATTCTGGCTTATGACAGTAAGCTTCCACGGTGAGAAGGTGATTAAAGTCAAGGCCTTTATCAATCACTGAGCTATCTATTGCCATCACTCAAGTAAGTGGAGTCTACCTGAACCAAAGTAGTGTCTTTAAATATGAATCAGAGGGGACCAATTCCAAGGAATTTCAGAAGTAGAACAGTCAGTTCTTGGTAACTGATTGGATAACCGGGGATAAGGGCGAGAGAGGAGCGAATGGTGTCCCCAGCAGCTGAGCATGGATGGCCAGGATAACATCATTAGCCAACTTGGAGTCCACAGGAAAAGTGCCAAGATAAAAGCTAATGATTAAAATTAATCTATATGTAAACAATACATTTATGTTTAAATGACAACCGAGTAGCACTTTCATTTGCTAGACAAGTAATAATTAAAAAAATAGTAGAAACTAGGTAATAAGGAAGTATTTCCAGAAATAACTTAAATGGATTTTATAAAAGAAAGCTCATAAAATAAACTTAATGGTAATGGAATTTCATTAAATGTTGTCCAATGTGTAATTCTAAAGGCCGGGTCCATGGTAGAGGAAATTAGACAAAAAAAAAAAAAAAAAGCATAGTTTTTGTTTATTCAGTCATTTAACATTCATTAAATTCTTTTAGGGATATTACTAAGTTTATAGTTGGCAGTTTACATACTTGATGACCTAGGTGATTGCTTTTCTGATTGTTTTTAATTATAGGAGTTTGTTTTTCAGGACCTCAAAGAGATGCACTTAAGTGGAGGGAAGGACAAATGGATGAAAGAAACAAGTTCTAAAGCACAAACTGTGGCCTTAGGCAGCCTGCTGAGTGTTTTACATATGAGAATAGCTTGAAAGAGTGAAGGGACTGAAAGATGTGAGTTCAGGACTATCAGAGGAAGAATCTTACCAATGCATTTTTAGCTATGTCTTAGAGAAATTTAACACCTTTCCTAAGCTTTGGTTTCTTTTCCTATAAAACAATAGCATCTATACTTTGTGGGGTTATAAAAAGAATTAGGGTTATGAAAATAAAATACTTTGCGTAAGGAGGTAAATATTTGGGAAATGACTGCAGTAACTGCTGTTTCACTTTGTGTTAACTGTAATTATTAACCCTATTTTTTTTTTTTTTTTTGAGAGGGAGTTTTGCTCTTGTTGCCCAGGTTGGAGTGCAGTGGCGTGATCTCGACTCACTGCAACCTCCACCTCCCGGGTTCAAGTGATTCTCCTGTCTTAGCTTCCTGAGTAGCAAGGATTACAGGCACCCACCACCACACCTGGCTAATTTTTTTTTTTGTATTTTTAGTAGAGACGGGGTTTCACCACGTTGGCCATGCTGGTCGCAAACTCCTGACCTCAGGTGATCCATCCACCTCGGCCCCCCAAAGTGCTGGGATTACAGGCATGAGCCACAGTGCCTGGCTGTTTAACCCCATTTTACAGATGAGAGAGAAATCTGGGGTTCAGTCATGTTAAGTAACTCACCCAAGAACACAGATAATAAGCAGTAAGAGCTGCCTTATGGGTACTTGTTATTCCAAGCACCTGAAACAGTGGCTGGCAGAGGAGTTGCTCAATAGATAGTTGCCTAATATTAAGGAAAAACATCTCACATCACACATCTGCATACCCCCTTCCCTCTTGACCTCTCAATGTTGGAGGTTCCCTGAGCTCAGTCCTCCAGCCGTTTCTCCTTTCTGTTTCAACTCTTCCTTGAGTGATCTTGCTCATTCCCATGTTTCGCATGGTGTGTTTCATATACCTTTTTGTATGTCACTCAAATCTATTTCAAACTCTCCCTTCCCTGAGCTCCAGACTCGTATATCTTTTAGGCCTTCCACTTGTGTGTCAAGCAGATAACTCTAACTTAACATGCCCAAAGCTGAACTAGTGATGCTTTTCCCCAAACCCACTCCTTTCCCAGTTTTCCCTGTCTCAGGAAATAACCACTTCTCTCCTGGCAGTCCAGAACAAAAACAGGGGTCCCTCATGATTATTCTCTTCTATAGCTTATACAGGACCTACAGGCTCAACCTCTAAAACGTATCTCAAATTTGAATACTTCCATCTTCACTGCCATACTCATCTCTTATCTGGCTACCTGCTATAGGATCTAACTGGAATCCCTGCTCCCACACCCTTACTCCTTCCCCCCAGTCTTTTATTTGTAATTGTAATGAAATATACATAGCATGAAATTTACCCCTTTAACTGTTTTTAAGTGTACAATTCAGTGGCACCAAGTACAGTCACACTATTGTGTAACCATCACCAATATTTACATGTAGAGCTTCTTCATCATCCTAACAGAAACTCTGTTTCCACTATATATTAACTCCCTGACCCCTCCCTTCCTTTAGCCCTGGTAACCTCTACTATATTTTTTGTCTCTATGAATTTGCCTACTTTAGGTGCCTCATATAAGTAGAATCATACAATATTCGTCTTTTTATGTCTGTCTGTCTTATTTCACTTAGCATAAAGTTTTCAAGATTCATCCACATTGTAGCATGTATCAGAATTTCATTGCTTTCTAATGCTGACACACACACACGCACGATCATATACACACATGCACACTCACACACACACTTTATCCTTATTCATGGATGACAGATGGGCATCTAGGTTGTCTCTACCTTTTGGCTATTGTGAATAACGCTGTTATGACCAGTATCTGTTTGGGTCCCTGCTTCCAATTTTTTTATACCCAGAAATGGAATTGCTGGATTACTTGCAATTGTATGTTTAACTTTTTAAGGAATCACCAAACTGCTGTGCATGGCTGCTGCACCCTTTTACATTCCCACAAGCAAAGCACAAGGGTTCCAATTTTTCTATACCCTCACTAACACCTGTTAGTTTCCTCTTTATTAATAGCCATCCTAACAGCTGTGAAGTGGTCGCTCACAGTCTTCTCAATAAAACATATGATGTCCTTTCAAAACCCCAGTGGTCTCCTATTTCACTTAGAACAAAGCTTAAAGTCTTTATCATCACCTATAAGGCGCTCTAGGAACCCTGAGATCTCTTCATTCTGTTGAGCGTCCTCTGCTCCGCCACAGTGGCCTCCTAACTGTTCTGGAACATGTCAAATCCATTTCAACTCAGTGCCTTCACTCTTGCTATTCTTCTGCTTAGAATAGTTTCTCACCATTATCACATGGCTTTGGCCTAATTCATGTCTCTGACCAAATGTCACTTCTTCAGACATGTTCACATCTTTAGATGTCACATCTGAAGATGTTCTTCAGAGAGGACATTCCTAGCACCCAATCTAGATAGCCTCTCCTGACCCCTGCACCACAGCTTCTCACTGTCTATTGCTTGCTTTGCTTCATATACCTTATCATTCTTAACATTATATGGTATATTTATTTGTTCATAATCCATCTCTCTCAGCAGAATGTAAGTTTTATGTGGCTGGGGGACTTTTTATTCATTTTTGTGTCCCAAATACCTAAAACAGTGCCAAGCAAATTTAAGTACTAATTATTAAAGGCAGGCAAGGTTATCTGTTGATAGAGGCTTAATAGTTTGAGATTTTTATGGTAAAGAATCTTAACCTACTTATTTTTATAACTTTCATAATAGATGGCAAAAGATTCTTTGATATCTGAAAATATTTTTAAAATGTCTTTTCTTCCTTTTTTGGGGGGGTGGGGGAAACATGATTTTGCTATTATCTATTGGTCAGTTAAGGAAAGAAACATCCACTGATATTCTGAATAATAGCAATAATATCATTAAGCATTTACTTGTGCCCTGCACTGTGCTATGAAGTTAATATACATTATGTCTGATTTTCACAAAATTATATCGAGTGTTTTCATTTTGCAGATAAGAAAACTAAGGCTCACGAAAGGTACACTGCCCGAGATGACATAGCAAGTAAGTGGCAGGTCAGGAATTCCAATCAGGCACTGTCTGACTCCAAAGGTTATTGCTTATTCCACACACCATTCTGCAAGAGGTAATACTCAACAGTTTGGAGGCCACAGAGAATTATATCCCACAATCTCTCCCTTAAGGACCATGCTGGCTGGGCATAGTGACTTACACCTGTAATCTCAGCATTTTGGGAGGCCAAGGCGGGAGGATCACTTGAGCCTAGTAGTTCAAGACCAGCCTGGGCAACATAGCAAGTTCTCACCTCTACTATTAAAAAAAAAAAAAAAAAAAAAAGCCAGCTATTGTGACACATGCCTGTGGTCCCAGTAACTTGGGAGGCTGAAGCAGGAAGGTCGTTTGAGCCCAGGGAGTTTGAGGCTGCAGTGAGCTATGATTGTGCCACTGCACTCCAGTCTGGGTGACAGGGCAAGACCCTGTCTCAAAAGAAAGGGAACATGCTGTTTAGTTAGTAGTATGACAAAGCATTTATCTACATGTAATTTAAAAGATATCATTCAATACAATGGACAACAAAAGTCGGTGCCTCCATTATGTTCATGGTAATTAGAGGGATTTCGAGGAAGATGTCGCCCCCTAGGGGCTCTGGTGGTCAGGAAGTCATCCTGGAGGGAGTGGGACTTGAGCCAGGTCGTGTCAAGTGGGAATGGGCTGAGCGAGGCACACAGGAAGTGAAGAGGGTCACTCCAGCTGTGGGAACCACCTGAGCATTGGCCTAAAAACAAAAAGGAGTGAGCAGCATTTGGTCAAAAAAGGGTAAAGTGATCTACTTGGAATTCACAGCTTACTTCTGGAGGAGTTGAGGAAAAGGAAGAATGGTAGCTCATCTTCATCAAGCACTTAGTAAATGATATCAAGCACTGTCTATTTGCTATGTAAGTATTATGTATTTAATCTGCAGAACAACTCTATGAGATTGATACTACTGAGTTACCCACGTCACATAAAAACTGAGTCTAAGGGAGAGTCAAGGGTGCACAGTGAGAGATAAGGATGCATAGGCCAACTGGGTCAAGATTTTGAATGCTGCGACCAAGTACTTGTCTTTGCCCTGTATGCACTGATTTTCTTTCTTTCTTTTTCTTTTTTTTTTTACCTGCTTCAAGTTTTACCATGTTTTAATAATAACCAGTTGTACTACCCAGGTATGACATTAAAATTCTACCAGCTCCTCTCTCACCTATGCTATCCTGAGTAACATGGATCTAAGTATGCTTGCATCAAGATGAATCTCCTAGTCTCCACTCATTCTAGACTGTCACTCCTAAACCCTACTAACTGAAATTCCTTAGTTTATGCCTCTAACTCACCTCTTGGTTCCTCCATTCAAGGACTTATCTCCCAGCCATCAAAATCCACATAATGTAATTCATTTGTAGAGAAAATGACTGTGGAGTTTGAGAACTGTTTCATAGATGAATGACATTAATTAAGGATATCATCTCTAGAAAGCCTGGAGTTTCTGTAAATTATAAACTATTCATCTCAATTCAGACAGTTAATTATCAACATAATAAATATTTGATTCTTCCAGCTACCTATATAAACTATAGTATTTTAAAACTGTCTGACTCCAAGAGTCAGTAAAATAATCCCTATACTAGAAAAGTCACCATTTTATACTTTCTCCCCCATTACTTCTCATAATTTCCATACAATTACCTAGTATCAGGTGATATGTGTCTGCATATTAAAGATCATATTGTCAAGCAGGAACTTTAATGTATCACCAAGCATTTGCTGTGCTTATGTAACAGGTAATGCGCAAATGCACTCATGATGCATATTTCGGCTTCCAAATAACAACCCAGAGTTTGGTTGTCAGATGGGTTGCTTCCATGCAGGGTTAATGGGGTATGTTGTGGTCAAGTGTTCAAACATGTTTAACATCATCAGTGCAAGTTCAGGTTTATTCAAAGGGCAGGTAAGGTAGAAAAATGGAGTATTGATGCTCACTCTGAAAGAGAATGACCAAAACAAAACCCAGGGGAAAATTACATACTAATAAATATACTCCAACATATATTATGGTTTCTAGTTTTTATTCAAAAAATTTAGAGCCATAAATGAAATATTTTCTTAATTTGCAGCTCTCTTCATTATATACCAACTTCAAAAATACACTGTGGTTCTGATGAAAAAGAGTACGTACCAGTGGATTTCTGAGATTTCTCTCCCTACTTTCCAATCTGTGCAATTTATTTTTTTCTTCTTTCTTCTTACTAGATTACCTGAGGGCAACTTCTGAAGCCTTGATTCAAAAAGCTAATGTGCTCAGAAGCCTAACAAGTCACTATGGAGCTTAATGTATTAAATGTGTTATTGGCAATGCAGGGGAATTCTATTAATTTTATATTTTATATCCTGCCCTTTCTTCAGCTACAACTGTAGCCTTTCTTTGAGTCACAAATTAAAAAGAATTTTATCTGGAATCAGATTTATTTATTCTTCAAATTTACTTCACTAGTTACTAAGAGGCCTTTTCTCAACATTCTTCAAGGGTCCTTACAAATGAGTGTCAACAATGGGAAAGTGTTATTTTCGTGTAACCCTGGATAAGTCATTTAGCAGCCCTGGATTCCAGTCTCTTCATCTGTAAAATAAGACAGTGGAACTAAATACTCTTTCCTGCCCTTTCAGGTCCTATGATGCTGTGATTCTAGTATACTAAAATGTTTTAGACAAACACTGAAGTTAGATTTATCATAAAATACCTGTGAATCAGGTACGAAGTTCATACTAATTAGAATTTAACTTTCCTTGATTACTGGGCAATTAAAATATACTTTAATATAGAACAGCAAGGCTCTGACATTTTCTAATCCCATGCATGAATATTATGGATATGTGGAAATATACGAAACTGTCTCATTTAGGTATATCTAAAAGCTGATTTTCACAGCAAGAAGATTAGCTAAAGAGTATGTACACTATCAATAAGAACTAATTAAGCATTTTCTTTAGAAAAAAATTCTCTCAGAGCCTTTCTGAAGAAGACAAGATTGGCCAATTGCACTTTGGCACTAATACGTGACTGTAAACCAACAACATCAAAATATGTGAAGATTACATTCTGGCAGATGTGAGAAACAGCTTAATAATTAAAATCAACATAGTTTAACTTCCTTAAATACACTTCATTCAACAAACACACACACACACACACACACACATACGTGTGTATATATATATATACACACACATATATGTATGTGTACATATATATATATATATATATATATATATATATACACACACACACATATATATACACACACACATTTTTTTGAGACAGAGTCTTGCTCTGTCACCCAGGCTAGAGTGCAGTGGCCTGATCTCAGCTCACTGCAACCTCCACCTCCAGGGTTCAAGCGATTCTCCTGCCTCAGCCTCCCAAGTAGCTGGGATTACAGGTGCCCACCACCACGCCTGGCTAATTTTTTTTTTTTTTGTATTTTTAGTAGAGAGGGTTTCATAAAGTTGATCAGGCTGGTCTCGAACTCCTGACCTCAGGTGATCCACCCGCCTCAGCCTCCCAAAGTGTTTGGATTACAGGCATAAGCCACCATACCCGGCCCATCACATATTTTTAAGTTCTTATTCTACTGTTTTTCCATGTATTTTGTGAAAAATCGACAAGTAGTAAAAGACACTGTCTCTGATCTTTCGAATCTCAAATCTGGGTAAGTAAATATGTATTATGTTTGGGGAAAAACAACAACAAAAGTCAGGCAAAACCCAAATATGAGTGACTATGGAGAAATTCAGATAGAATCTATGCATGCTGAGGGATGTAACATGAATGGTAAGATTACCCTAAAAAGGCTGTGTAGGTGAAATGTTATAAAGAACAAAGACCATGATAAACATAGCCACAGTGATTTTCATACAACTTCCACTGATGACTGTTACTTCTGAAGTGTGGACTGCCGGCCATCTGTTGAGGTTTACAGTTAAATGCCTGGTATTGCAGTCAGATTACCAGGCCCCACCCATCTAACTGTGCCACTATGGACAAGTAACTTAGGGCCTCAATGCCTCAGTTTCCTTTCTATAAAACGGAATAAATAACGTACTTGGCTGGGCGTAGTGGCTCATGCCTGTATTTCCAGCACTTTGGAAGGCCGAGGTGGGTGGATCACTTGAAGTCAGCAGTTTAAGAACAGCCTGGACAACATGATGAAACCCTGTCTCTACTAAAAATACAAAAATTAGCCAGATGTGTTGGTGCATGCCTGTAATCCCACTACTCGGGAGGCTGAGGCAGGAGAATTGCTTGAACCCACGAGGTGGAGGCTACAGTGAGCCGAGACTGTGCCACTACACTCCAGACTGGGTGACAGAGTGAGACTCTGTCTCAAATTAATAATAATAATAATAATAATAATAATAATAATAATAAATGTACTTGTCTTAAAGGGTGTGGAAAGGATTAAATGAGTTAACATGCAAAGCATCTGAAGCAGTGCCTGGTAAATACCTTAACAAATGTTTTCTTAATAAATGATTTCTCACTGTTCCCCAATTCTGGGCTGGGAATATATTAAGGTATTGTTGTTTACCTCAAGGGAAATTGCAAAAGGGCTCAATTCAGTTTTTAAAAAATGTATGTCATATAGCTCATGTAAGATGTAGAAGTGAAGGCATAAAATCAATAAAAAAATTAATGAGTATTATATCTCCATAAAGGTTGGGAGTCATTGCTCTGGGGCAGAGGCTGGAGAAATGAGCATGCCCATGTATGTCCTTTATTCCACTGCTGTTATCTGACATTCTCTAGAGACTCTATGCAGCACTAGAGTCTCCTTTTTTTTTCCTTCTAATTCTAGGGTAAGTTCACAATTGTTGGCCATTAATAGCTTCTGAATCGTTCTTGCATTTACATAGACATGATGATAAATAATCAGAGAAAACATTAAGCTAGCTTTGCCAATGATAAAAACATTTGTAAATTTATCTGGGTTTAGCACATTCTTGGATAATTTTATCTTTTAAACAAATTGTGTAATTTCCAATTCCAAATCACAGTTTTTCCTTTTAGCACAAACATATTACCTTCTGAGGTGTGTTAATTAAGTGTAACAAGAAGCCTTCCTAGAAAGCCATGAGAAGGAACTGGACCACTGTAGACAGTTGTGGGGTGCTATGGTCTGATGTTTATGTCCTCCCAAAATTTCATACATTGAAACTGTCTCATTTAGGTATGTCTGAAAGCTGGTTTTTTAAATTTTCACAGCAAGAACACAAGTTAAAAAATAAAGTGAAGGTATTAGGAGGTGAAGCCTCTGGGAGATGATTAGGTCATAGGGGTGGAGCCCTCATGAGTATTAGTGCCCTTATAAAAGAGGCTCCAGAGAGCTGCCTTGCTCCTTCTACCATGTGAAGACACAGTAGGAGGGTGAGGTCCATGAACCAGAAAAGCAGGCCCTTACCAGACACTGAATCTTTAGGTACCCTGATCTTGGACTTTGCAGCCTCCAGAACCACGACAAATAAATTTCTGTTATATGTAAGCCACTCAGTCTATGGCATTTTGTTACAGTAGTTGAAAAAGACTAAGACACAGGGTAAACCTGCTTAAGCATTATCACAGAAGATGATTTAGGAATAGGCATGTCATGGATCCTTTAGTTTATTTTTATTTTTAAATAGAGATGGGGTCTCACTATGTTGACAGGCTGGTCTTGAACCCCTAGCCTCAAATGATCCTTCCATCTTGGCCTCTCGAGGTGCTGGGGTTACAGTTGTGAGCCACTGCACCTGGCCTAGTTTTTAAAAATGAGTTCAATTCTTGATTTATTTTTTCAAAGCAACTATTTAGACTTTCTTTGCCAAATGTTCTTTTATCTCAAGAAGCAGGAATCAGGGAAAGCATTCTTCCGACACCCTCTAGGAGTCCTGCGGGGAAAGCATTTTGTGCTCTAACATATGTCTCAGTTTTGGAGCCTCTGTAGCATGTCAGTGTGTGGGCAGACTTGGGAAAGTGCAGCAAGAACAGCAGAGCAGTCTGCTCTGGCAGACAGTATCACTTACAGATGCAAAGCCCGCCCAGTGCTAACGCAGTTTACACACCCTGAAGACAGTCCTAAAAATTCCAGGAGCAAAAGCAAAACAGAAGACACAAAATGAGACACAGTCTCAAAGTGCTAACGGCATTTTCACATAATACTTTAAGTTTATAATAATGACTTTCATTTCTATAACATCGTTCTGCTGAAGAGTTAAATATCCTCTAAAGACGTTTTATTCATTTTTAAAGTTACAATTCATCCTGACAATGTTCCCATGGAACAGAAGGAAATTTGACTGCATCTTATAGGAGAGAAAACCCAAAACCCAATTAGATGAAACACGTCGATGTGATGAGGAAGCACGACTGGAAAGCTCACATAAGCTCTGCCGTGGCAACCCACGATGCCGCCCCCATACAAGGGAGCCTGCCAGGGTTGTTCCCTGACCCCGGGAGAGCTACACCAACAATGCTGTGAAGACCTACAAAAGCTTTAGGTTGGTAAGGTATTGCTGTGGTTTCAAAGGCTTAGATGCTGGTTTCCTTGCTAGGTAAGAAACCTTGCTTTCAGATTTACAAAGAATTATGGCAAAGATTTCTACTGCAATCTGCCAGATCCCAACTATTTTTACAGTTCTTAGGCCAATAACACATTCTCTCTGAATTCTATAACAGTGTTTTTGAAACCACATACCATGGAACCTTCAGAGCTTCAGGGTCACTCATTTGAATTATTTCAATTTCAAGTATGTTAAGGCTAATCTAAGAGGATTACAACCCTCATCTCTGACTTCCCATCATGTTTATCAATAGCTCCTTTGGAGCTATTGTTTTTGGAGGTTGACTTTACACTAACAAGTTACTGCTCTTATCTTTTAAAATATTCTATCTACAGTTAAGTTTAAAAAAATGTTGTTTTCAAAAAATCTCCAGAAAATTGTGAGACTGGTTGCTCATTTATCATTTCACAAATATTTATTGAGCACTTATGTGCAGAGTGTAGCACTAAGCTCGGGGGATGCAGTCATGAGTAAGGTGGGGACTATCTCTACTGTCATCTGCTATGCATACAACAAAGATCACCAACTGACAAGAGACTTCACTTTCCTGCAGTCACTCACGTTGACCTTTTACAAGAGGCTGAAAAAGCCTACGGATATGGTGAGTTTTAAGCCCAACCTGCTGAGGAGTCTCTTGTTTTATGGTTGTTGAGCAGAGTCAACAAAGTCAATTTAATAAAATGCAGAGTATTTAGAGATATAAGCAAAGGGAAAAAAAATAAAAGCAAAGGGCAGCGCTTATTTACATTTTAGATTCTTGTATTAGATTTGGAGAAGATTCTTGAATATTTAAGGTGTCCTGTAGAACATACACTTTTTTTTACTTAGGAAAGCAGAAAATTGTAAGAACTGAACCAAGTCTCTGAAATTACTTCCTAGTTTTACTTCAGTCAAACCTGAGCTCAAAATATAGAGTGTATATAAATTTCAGTCTATAGCTAGAGGATTACAAATAGTAATTTTCCTTTCATTGAACTTTTTGGTATTCAAATCTTAATAGTTAACAATATTTAACAGTTATAGAGCAATTTAATGTTGGCTAGATACTACGCTAAATACTTTACATGCGTCATTTTATTTAATTCTTCCAACATCTAAGATGATGGCATTATCATTCCCATTTTACATTCCCCTTCCGCCCTGGCCCCTCCCAAATCTCATGTCCTTCTCACATTTCAAATGTATCATTTTATTTAATTCTTCTAACATCTAAGGTGGTGGCATTATCATCCCCATTTTACAGATGAGTAAAATAGAGTTTAGGCAGATTAAGTAGATTAAGTTTGACCTTCTCTTTAAGATAGAGGTCACACAGTAGAAATGTTACTACATCAACCGCACAGTGCTGAGAAGATGAAATGGTGGGACATATACTTTTCAAATGAGAGCTCAGGTTTACAACTTGCTCCTTCTTTTAAGAAAATATTACAGCCACAAGAGAAAATAATAAACTATCCCATGAAGGACTTGATATGGCTCAGCCTCCCACTGCTCAAAGGAAAGGCTGTTCTTCAGTTCTTTAATGTCAACCTCTCATTAAGTCAGGAAGAGCCATAGGTTTGTGTTCTCTTCGGGATTAAAAAAAAAAAAGGGAGCCTTTAGTCTCATCCCTTTCGTAGTCTTTTCTCTTACATAAGAAAATCCTGTTTCTGTTAGTTCCTCCACTTAAAGCAAGAGTTGCCGCAAAGGCAGCTGAAAGCAGCATGTAACATATCAGATGGACTGAGGACATCATGTTTATTTAACGGTAGATCCTCTTTCCTCAGCTCTGGGCTGCACTCTATTTCCAAACTTAGGCTTGGCATATGAGAAAACTGGGAGTGAGGAGTTAGGCATATTCATCTATGAATAACATAATCATTACATGTGCTAGGTGGTGGTGTTATTACTCACTTTTACAGAATATTGACAGAGGGGTTTAACATTACTTCTCTCAGGATCAACTCTTCTTGTATAGAGAGTCTAAAATTCTGCTGTCTGATCAGTGCTATCTTATATAAAATAACTATTGATCTGAGATCCTGAAAGCACCGTAGAATATGGCTTTGCCTTAAGACTTACTATACAATTACATAACAAGTTGAATGTACTAGAAATTAAGGCAGGGTTGGGGGAGTACTAGAAAAAAACGTTCTCCCATTCATTAAAGTTACAAGGAAACTTCTTTCAAAATGGCTCCTAGAAAACCTCTGAAAAGATATAGCATGCATATTACATTATATGTGTGGGTTTATGTGTATTTATGTAGAGTTGGAAAAAGCTGATCCAAGAAGTAGATTTTAACTCCGCTTTGGTATCAGCATGCTTCAGAACTATTTCAGAATAATCACCTTATTTTTAAAAGTTCTGCTCATCAGTGAGAAGAACCAAAGTTGTGGTTTCTAAGAAAGTTACGCTTCCAGGAAAGAGAGAAAAATAAAATGACTAAGAAGTACATGGAGGGCTCTTATCATTTACTAATTCCTTGAGGCAGGATTCTATTTCAAGCAGTCCAGGTAGAAGAAACTAATGTATACCTTTAAAAAAGTTTTGAGAAGTACTTGCAAGAACTTTAGTGACCTCTCCTATTTATTTGGAAACTCTTCTTATGTAAGAAAAGTTCTACATCTACAAATATTTTTCCATACCTCAAACAGACCCAAATGCCAAGACCTATGGCATCTTTGAACTAAAGTTAAATACCGCTGTTAAGTCTGCTTTCAAATTCTCCATCTACAAATAAGAATTCAAGTCTGACTTTGGGTAGCATGGATTGGATTAGGAGATTCACTGCTAAATTTGGAATGTGAAGATCTAGATGTGCCAGGGCTGTTGCAAAGTGGCTTTGTTCCATAGGACAAATAACTGAATTTCTATTTTGGAACTTCAATTTCATCACTGACAAAATGGGGTCAATACTACCTATTGTGAATGTCGCAAGGGTTGGTTGTGAATTTCTCATGAGGGCATGGATGAAAGGGCGTTTTGAAAGGGTGAGTGTAGGTCTCCTGCAGGAGGGGTCTTTTCAAGATAGGCCTTTATAAACCCTTTAGGCACGCTGGTGGTAGGAGCAAAAAGCAGGTGACTGGGGCCTGTGTGATGGACATCCTGGAGCCTGGGTCAGCTACCCAGGGGGTGGTCTAGTAATGGGGGGTTGTGGGGGGTGGCAGCAACAGCAAATGAAGCCAGAAAAAGCAACACAGGAGGAACTGCTATAGAGCCCCAGGGCTTCAGGAGCAGGTAGGTAGACACTGAGGAGCAACGCAGGGAAGGAAAGCCTGCTGCCTAGGATGAGCATGACAAAACGATGCTCAGCACTTGCCAAACCTGCATCAGGACATGAAAAAATAAAACTGCAAGGTGACGTATGCATGTCTACGCATAGGTGAGCATACGCATGTCTCTACATTATTAGGGTTCATTAATTTCTGATGGTGGCTAGTTGAGTTTACCTTTGATGAAGGCTAGTGTGTCAGAAAAGAACTCAACATTCATGCATCCTGGTGTTAAATTCTGAGGCCATGGTTGCACTTTCTAGTTCTACAGAGCCTTCTAGTGTTAGCCAGCTGCACTCTTTAGACCAAGGCCTGCTAATGTAATCAGTCACTTTTATGAGTACCTAAAATTATAGCTGCTAGGTACCCATTAAAATAACTTATTTATTCATTTATTGTTTATAAGAATTTGTGGTTAATGCATCCGTATTCATTGTTTAAGCCGTGGTTCATTACCACACATAACTGCAGGATGGGGTTCTGTTTTGCACATGTGCTCTTTGACCACCTGGGGACATAAGAGAACACATATTACAAATGCACATACATTTAAAGCATATGTTTTAGGTAGGAAAGAGGGGACGCTACTCTTATCCAATTGCAACTAAAATCATGACGTTGTGAAAGAGCTCACTATGAATGGAGTTGTGTCAGTAGCTCAGAAGTAGGCTCTGGTTTTCCTCCTCCAGTGTATTAAATCATTTGACATTTAGGTCACCTAGGATGAGGACTGAAGGGCATGCTCTAACCAGTACAATTGTAACCATACATATTTATAAATATTAAAGGTAATTATTATCCTTAAAATATATCTAACAAATGTCAACCCAGATTGTGACAAGGACTGAATTTATATTTTGTAAAAGTATCACATGTGATAATTACTGTTTTTCACACACCAGGTCAAAATACTAAGTGTAAAAAGAAAAAGAAAATGCTCCTTTGTTAACACTTGTCATTGTTCTGCACGTATGTAATTTCTAGAATCAGAGGCCTCCAAATCTATTAATAATCACAAATTTGCAAAAGCTATGCATTATTTCAGATAACACCAAGCAAAAATAGCACCAAGATTCTAATTTCACTTAATGATATTTTCAAGATACCCACCAGTTTGAAAGCATGCAAGTCAAGGGTATACCACTAAATAACTGAATCAGTAACTGTGGAAAAAGTTAAATGACGTATCATTTTTACATTTCAAGGATCGTAATGTCCTGCAAAATACGTAGTACACACCATCTGCATCGGGCAAAACGCTGTCAGATGCTTTCAAAATAGGTCTCTGGACCCAGAGAGAAATCAGCATTCTAATGACATTTCACAACGGTGTGGCACCTGGCTGGTAAAGATCTACAAAGGAAACCACCAAAAAAAAAAAAAAACTGTGCATTGCCACAGTTAGAAGTGTGTATATGTACATGTGGGCAAACAATGCAGGGACTATATTAATTCAATTATATTTTGGTTTCTTCATGTGATAAAACACACTAAGAGAAGTATTAAAGAGGTAAAGCAATAGATATCGATGTATTTAAAACTTACAAATGAAATGAAACAAATATGAATTTTATTATCTCAAACAAGGCTAACTCCCAGGGCCAACATATGATGTAATATCTAAATATGTTAAATTGGTGAGGAATAGAAAGACCAACCTGTGACAAAGAGGCAATGCTGTCTTTATAAAAGTCTGTTAACACACAGCCGCAACATAACTTTACTAACTCATTCACCATAGCTTGAATTCTCTTCCAAAGACAGAGCTCCTTTAGATACCTTTATATTCTTTATATATTTATATTTACATATGCCGTTATATTCTCCTTTAGATACCTTTATATTCTTCCAAAGACAGAGCTCCTTTTAGATACCTTTATATTAATTCTGAGCATTACTATACTGCCTGGCACCTAGTAGGTGCTCAAAATATGTCAGACTTTCAATTAGCTCATTATTTTAATTGAGTGAAGTTTGATAAGAGTCTTAAAACATTCTATTTTATTTAAATTTTGTGTATCTTTCTAAAAAAATTAAGAGTGATTTAATTATGGAGTTGAAACTAGAAGAATTAGCATATTTCAGTTTAAAGCCATGCCCCTCCCTCCCTCCTTTTTTTTTTTTTTTTTTTTGAGATGGAGTCTCTTGCTCTGTCGCCCAGGCTGGAGTGCAATGGCACAATCTTGGCTCACTGCAACCTCTGCCTCCCTGGTTCAGGTGATTCTCCTGCCTCAGTCTCCCAATTAGCTGAGATTACAGGTGTGTACCACCACACCTGGCTAATTTTTTTGTATTTTTAGTAGAGATGGGATTTCACCATGTTGGTCAGGCTGGTCTCGAACTCCTGACCTCAAGTGATCCACCTGCCTCAGCCTCCTAAAGTATTGGGATTACAGGTATGAGCCACTACTCCTGGCATTTTCTTTCTTTCTTCCTTCAAATATTTACTGAGTGTCTACTATGGGCCAGACCTTATGGTAGGTGCTGGAGACTTATAGTCTAAGAGAGGCACACATACTTCCTTACATGCACACAATTGAGGGCCATGACAAAAAGACATGGCAGGGATCCAGAGGAGGAATGAAGAACCCAGGCTGCCATCAGCAAAGAGGTGAGTGTTTTAGCTACGGAGAAGGCTGTTATCAAGGGAGAATATGCAAAAGGAAATGAAACTTTGAAGAACATGAACATTTAAAGGGTAGGTAAAGGAAAAGGACTGAATGAGAAGGACGCAGTAGATATGTCAAGGTTAGCTTAGTTATATCATATTGGGGAATTGAGTTAACCTAGCTCTCAAATTGTATTATCTATTAAAGGGTCAAAGTACATTTTAGCTAGTAGATTACATAATTAATGTTAGCTATGTATTAGTCATGGCTGTACATAAATGAGTCTTGCATCCCCTTGTAATAATAGTCAACACTTATTTATTGCGTTTGGTAAATACTGTCCTTTGAGCTTTATATGTAATATAGTGCATTTAATCCTCATGATAACCATGAAACAGGTATTATTAGCAAGCCCCATTTTACAGATTAGGAACCAGAGACTCAGAGATATAAAATAACTTGCTCGAAGTTACAGAGTTAATATATAGTAACTGAAATATGAAAATAGGCAGTCTGATTTATTGATCCCTACTCTATTCTTTCTCTTTTCATTTTAAAGATTAAAATAAAACTGTTTTTCAAGACATGTCACAGAATGGGTCTGAGAAATAAATAAAATGGTATCTATGAACTGTGTGAAAACTGTGAAAAGCTTAAGAATGTAAAATATCATTGAAAGGTGGTTCTAACAAAGTACAATGTCCATTTCTGGTGAAAACTGACTTCATTGTTTCCACTGGAGGGAAGTGTTGAAAACGATGAATTTGTGGAGAATCACTTTGGAGACTCGCCTCTATCACCAGAGGATGAATTATTTACCACCAATATAACCAGGCACACCTGGGAGCAAATTACTGATTCCAGGGCCCATTTGTAATCCCATATCAGATTCCTTTGTCACACAGAAGACAAAGTCGGACTGAAGTGATGTTTAAGTTTTAAGGGAGCTGATATCAGAAGTTGGTATTTTAATAAAAATAATATTATATATGATCCTTGTCTGTCCAGACCTTTAATCTGAATTAACAGTTATGGACTGAATGTCTGTGTCCCCCAAAATTCACACGTTGAAGCCATAATCCTCAATGCAATGGTATCTGGAGATGGGGCCTTTGGGGATTATTTAGATCAGGTCATGAGGGTGGTGGGGCCCTTAGGATGGGATTAGTGTACTTTTATAAGAAGAGGAAGAAAGATCAAAGTTCTCTTCTCTCTCCACTTTTTGAGGACATAGAGAAAAGGTGCACTCTGCTAGCCAGCAAGAAAGCCTTCCCCGGGAACTGAATCACCAGATGGCTTGCTGTTGGACTTCCCAGCCTCCAGAACTGTGAGAAATAGTCCTGTGGTTTTAGCCACACAATCTATGGTATTTTTTTAATGGCAGGCCAAGTTATGCCAAATACATTTAAATTTTAATATGTGGAGCTCTGGGAGATATATTTTTGTTGTATATTACCACAGAGGAAATGATAGTGAAGAGTTTGATGATTTGCTTAACGCCAAAAGCCAACAGCAGGTAGAATTTGAATCTGCATCCTTTGATTCCAAAGCTGTGCTCTTTCCATTGAGTTGTTTGGACTCCTGTTCTTTATATTTATTCACCCCATGTCAGTTTTAAAGGCCTTGGAAAAGTTACTAGAGAATAAAAGCCTATACATTCAGTACTTCAGAGGCCACATCTCCCTCTGTGGCCAATTAACACTCGATTTACTTTGATGGTCATTTCCTATAGAGTACCTATGTTCAGTTTTTTATCATTAGAAGGCCCTTTTCAGTGTGTGTTCTAAGACCACGGGCCCTCAGCTTGCTACAATCCTAGGGGAGGCCCAGCTTCTCAGCCCTCAGAAAGATAAATGGTTTACCTCTTTATACCAACATGGATTGACACTTTGCACAATGCCACTTAAAATTCAGTACCTGCTGATTCAGCTAAGAGATTAAAAAGAAAAAAAGATATTTATTCTTTGTTCATATGAAAATGTCGTATGCATTAATCCCATTAAACAACAGAGCCTGCATTTAAATCTCATTCTAAATCCTATTTCCAGAGTTTTAATGTTTGAAGGTGTTTGTGTCTTCAAAGGTGTGACAATTAAAACTAAAAGACTGATCTTCAAATTCATTAACATACACAAGAGACAAAAAGCCAACAAATTAGCACAGCCAAAGGAAAAAGATTTTTAAAAAAATAGCCACACAAAGCCCATCCAGGGGGTGATGCTTTTTTATTGGACTAATTGCAAGGAAATATAAAAGGGTAAGCTTTTACTAATCAAGCTCTTTTCACTCAGCCATGAAGAACTGCTAGGCAGAGCAAGCAAAGAGACAGGGTGTTAATGTAAGCCTGATAATTAAATTCAGGATCAAGTGGATCAGAGGGAAGGCCAAAAACGTAAAAATCAGGTGGAGGTAAGAATTAGAATCCCAATCTTTTATAATACTATATGGATTGTCGAAAGAAGAAGAGAAAGGAAACTTATGAAAGTTGGTTTTTTCTTTCTAAAGCATGAATAAAAGTGGTTATATTTAAAAGAAAAGTGAACAGTGACAATACTGCAGAGGTATTTTGTAGCATCCTGCCTTCTGTGACATAAAGCTCTTTCCTACATACTCATCTCCATTTATTTTCACATAATCCCTGTGGAAAGAAACAGGCAAGATCAGGCATAAGGGACTCAATCTTGCCCCAGATCACATAATTAGAGAGTGACAGAACAGGTCTAAAATCTTAGCTTCTGAAATTCAGGTCAGTAGTCACCATTATTCTTCAAACATTTTGTCAGGCATAACAACGATAAACAGAGAAAGGGCAGAAATGATGTAACCAATGTTTAAAGATGTCTGTAATGTGAAAATATGTCTTGCTATCCTCTGAATTTGAGTATTTCTACTTTTCTGAAAATATTGACTAAGGAATGGGAAACAGCCATCAAAATGTGGAAAGGGAACCACCAAAGTCAGGCGGCAGAAGTTCTAAGTTCTAATCCTAGCTCCTGTGCAAATTTGGACAAAATCATTCAAACTCCGGGCTTCAGTTTTCCTACCAATAGATGAGGATAGTGGAAGAGATGTCTTCATTTCACTGATCAATATGCCTTGAACCTGCTGCCACATGTGCTGTGCTTGGAGCCAGGCAAGGACAGCCTTCATACTGGAGGGCCTCAGGCTTGAGGAGAAGGTGGAAAGAACATTACACACGGGCCAACAAATACAGTAAATCATGATAAAAGTGATGCTATGCTCCATATGGTGGCATTGGATCAGAGAGGAAGAAGAGGCTGATGGGTGGGGGGACTGCAGGGAAGTCTTCACAGAAAAGCATTTTTCAATTTAATTTTAAGTTCTGGGGTACATGTGCAGGACATGCAGGTTTGTTACATAGGTAAATGTGTACCATGGTGATTAGCTGCACCTATCAACCCATCACCTAGGTATTACGCCCAGAATGCATTAGCTATTTTTTTCCTGATGCAGAAGAACATTTTTAAACTGAGTTTTTGAGAATTAGTTTCCTTGGTGATCAAGCTGTTTTGGGAAATGTAACAAGTTCAGTGTGGCTGAAATTTAGGGTCCACGGGAAGATGGAAACAATTTGTGAGAAGTGAGATGGAAAGAGTTATGTGATGCAAAGGGCCTCATACGTAGTGTTAAGGGCTTTGGACTTCTAAATCATGGCACACTACCACAGAGTTGTAAAGACAGGAGCAATCCCATTTGCATTTTATAATAATCACTGTAGGCATGGCAATGATTGGATTCAGAGGAGGAGTAGAAAGAAGTGAATCTAGAATTCCATGGTGTATATGTGATACATTTTCTTTATCCAATCATCCGCTGATAGACACTTAGGTTGATTCCATGACTTTACTATTGTGAATAGTGCTGTGATAAACAAATGAGTGCAGGTATCTTTTTGATATAATGATTTCTTTTCCTTTGGGTAGATACCCATTAATGAGACCCCTGGATCAAATGGTAGTTATATTTTTAGCTCTTTGAGAAATGTTCGTACTGTTTTCCATAGAGGCTGTATTAATTTACATTCCCACCAACAGTGTATAGGTGTTCCTTTTTCTCTGCATCCTTGCCAACATCTGTTGACTTTTTAATAATAGCCATTCTGACTGGTGTAAGATGGAATCTAAACAGACCTGTTCGGAGCTTAGGGTAATGTTTCAGGCAAGAGATGATGAGGGCATGTGGGGTGAGGAAGAGCCAACACTGCCAAGCAATATTTAGGAGGAGGAATGCTGGACTCATTTGATCAAATAAATGTGGGTTATGACAGAGTTGGAGTTACCATGAGGTTTCTAGCTTGGGTGATTTTGTAGACGAGGAATGAGAAGACTGAGGTTAGGGAATATGAACAGATAGAATAAATGGCTCTTCCAATGCTAAAGTCTTCTTGTGGAAGAAAGACATCAGGGTACTTGGTGTTTTGGGAAAATGGGCCCTCATATATTAAGACGTATTTATTCAGTTGAAGTCAGATATCTCACAGAGCAGTCCGGGGCTGGACATCTACTGGGGGTAAGTGGCATCATTTTACAATGGGCTGCTGACAGCATGTGCACGTGGGGTGAAGAAATTGGCTGAAACTTACAGGGTCCTTTGTACCCTGAGGACACACACAGGCAGCCTTAGATACATTCATACAGCTTCTGTCCAGTTTACCTATGGATTTATTTTATTTTTTATTTTTTACTTTTTGAGACAGAGTGTCACTCTGTTGCCCAGGCTGGAGTGCTCACTGCAAACTCTGCCTCCTGGGTTCAAGTGATTCTCCTGCCTCGGCCTCCTAAGTAGCTGGGAGTGCAGGCAAATGCCACTGCACTCAGCTAATTTTTGTATTTTTTGTAGAGATGGGGTTTTGTCATGCTGGCCAGGCTGGTCTTGAACTCCTGAGCTCAAGAGATCCATCTGCATTGGCCTCCCAAAGTGTTGGGATTACAGGCATGAGCCATCATGCCCAGCCACCTATTAATATTTGTGGCTCATCCACTGTACATTTTTACAGCCTTTAGTTAATGGTTTGCAGGCATTTTTACCTTCGGATTTTCTTCATCTCAAGAACTGTTCTGTCCCTTAACATCAAATAGACACACCCACACCACACACATGCACCCTGTGGTAACTATCATTTATATGCCAATGGCACCTACCTTTACATCTACGGACTTGCCTTCTGCTCTAAATTCCCAACCACAACCACCAGTTGCTCACACTAAAACTAGGTGTCATCCTTGATTCTTCTCTTCATTTCCTTCCATAAGCAACTGCTGTTTACAGTTTTCAGAACGCATCCTAGTTGCATCCACTTCTCTCCTTCTGTGGATACCATTCTAGTCGTGGCTAGCATGTCTTTCTCCTCAGCCACAGCCTTGGCTTCCTCACTCATTCCCCTGCTCCCTTCCACATATATATTTTTTTTTTTTTGACACAGAGTCTTGCTCTGTCACCCAGGTGTGGCACGATCTCAGCTCACTGTAACCTCTGCCTCCCGGGTTCAAGCAATTCTCCTGCCTCAGCCTCCTAGGTAGCTGGGATTACAGGTGCCCGCCACCATCATTATGTATTTTTTTGTAAAAAATACAAAAATTAGTACTGGCTAATTTTTGTATTTTTTAGTAGAGATGGGGTTTCACTGTATTGACCAGGCTGGTCTCTTACTCCTGACCTTGTGATCGACCCGCCTTGGCCTCCCAAAGTGCTGGGATTACAGGTGTGAGCCACCATGCCCAGCCTCCTTCCACACTCTTACAGCCCTTTCTCCAACAAGCTGCCAGACTAAGCCTGAAACATAAGACTCCACCACTTCACTCTCCTGCTCAAAGTCATCCGCGGTCCCCGTCCCACCCAGACTGCGGACTACATGTTTCTGCTCCCACCGACCTCTCTGAGCTGAGGTTGTTTCACGCTTCCCCTCATTCACTTTTCGTTCCTTGAATGTCCATGTTTGTTCCCATCTGAAGGCCTTTGTGTGAGCTGTTTCTAGCACCTGGAATAATGTGCCCAGACCCTCACCCAGATGGTTCCTTCCTGTCATTCAGCTCCCAGATGCCAAGTCACCTCCTTTCAAGAGGCATTTTCTGGCCAAACCCCTTGGATTGCTTTCTAGTCATCTCCAATCATATCCTCATTACATTTTCATCAAGGCACTTATCACTACCAGATGCTAGCCAGTTGTCACTCTTGCTCCACTACATGGTAAGAAGTGGGGGCCGCATTTGTCTTATTAAATACTGTGCCCCTAGAGCACAGAAAGTGGCTGGATCATTGCAGGCACAATAATTTTACTGAAGAGGGAACAGATGAATGAACACAAATATTCTGGAAAAGTGATAATGCTACCAAGTGTAAAAAAAAAAAAAAAGTCAATCTCTGGCAATTTCAAAAGATGATCAGGTTTGTAAGTGACATAGAACTTAAATACTTAAATTAAGGATTAAAATTAAATACAGGCTAGGAGAAAATAAAGAAGACAAGCAAGTAAAGGCCCACATGGAAGCTAGGCAGAGAAGGGGCTCGACTAATGCATTCTAAGGAAGCAGAAGGGTGTAAGATAGACAAGGAACACTCTGATTGCGATCCTCCCTTTCTAAAAGGTGTTGCTTGGATCTTCTTGTATTTTTTTGGAGCCCTTTTCTCCTTGAAAGCCATCATCAATAGCATTCAATCAAGCCTCCCACTCAGGAGAGGAGAGAGAGGCAGACATGGAAACTCACACACATATTCTCTTCATATTTTCTCACCTTTCTATGCCAATATGTTTTCCTTTAATGCTCCTGGAGGTACCCTTCACATAGAATACGATGTGAATAGTGCCCCCTGGGGTTGTGCAATATGGGTGTCCTGAAAAGAGAGAGTAGCAAGCCAAATGTGGCAGCACCAAATTTCTTGCTACCCAGGCTTCTTTCCATTTAAAAAAATGCTCTGACAATTTTTTAAAATGTTAGGGCTACATCTAATCAATTCCTAACACTCAAAATGAAAACAGGCTCAATTGCATATTGTTCTGGAGACTGGTGCTGCTACGTTTGTTTTTAGGTCTTGGCATAACTTAGGAGAGTCCCAGGGTCCTTTCCTCTGACTGGTGTGCCCGGGACCCTTGCCTCTCATCACGCAGGCCTCTCCTGCTGCTGGCCCTCTCCTGGGAGAAAGGAAAAGAGCATCAGCCACACAATTTGATGAGATCTGTAGTTTAGTGGTGCTTCTGAGAGTATATTTGAAAAAAGATAGCCAAGACTGCGGAAAACACATTCTCTATTAGCCATGGTAATGATGACTTCCAAATAACTGAGATTATATTGTACAGGATGAAGACTTTCAATAACTTAAGTTATTATGACCAGTAACAAGGCTACTGCTGGCAAAAAATGCAAAAACCCACCCAGGTCACCAAAATCTCATGAGGAATATGGAGACACTACTAATGGGGAGTGAAGGGAGATGGAATAAATCTCGTCTCACCTAGAGGCAGAAACTAAGTCACTTGGCTGCATTTCAGTTTAGGATTACATTACATCAATGTCTACTCAAGAATTTTTGAGTATTCACAGCACATTCTCAAAATTTACCAACTTTTACCTCTAGGTGGCAGCAACTTTCCTCTGTTCTTCACATGGTTGCCTTTAGCCTTTGTCTCCTACCTTTAATACAATTCCATACTTCCTTGTCTTTCACAAATAAATGCCTTATGGACTGTGCAGTTTGGGGAAGATTACTGTAAGTCACTTTCACTGTAAGAAATCAGTCCATTCTTCAGTTAAGCTACAAGGTTCTTCAAAGAGTACAATATAATTCAGATCTAAAGCGAAAAATAATAGGTATACCCTTTTCTTTCTCCATACCTATAAACTGCAAACTCTCAGAAAAGCAGCGTTTCTTTTTCTTTTCAGACCTCTGAGGAAAAAAGGCAATGAGTACAGGAATGGAAAAAGAGATGGAATTGGAGAGATTTCTATTTTACAAAAATATCAATTTAATCCTATGATATATCCATTTATGAGGGTGTTCCAAATACATTACAGGATGGAAGAGAAGATTTAAAGAATCACAAAAACATGGTAACATACAAGTACATATTTATGTAATGTATTGAACTGCAGTCCTACCTAAATATACCCTCTAGCTCAGAATTCTCAACTGTTAGGTTTAGGAAAGGCTCGAGAGACCTGAAGGAAATTATAGCCTTGTTTACCCAATGCTGGGCATGTCAATGAATGTCCTAGGTGGTAGTAAGAGATTCCTTTTACATAAAGTTGAAATTTGATTGTGGGCTAATACTTAGGGTTGACAAAGCACTTTCTCTCTTTTTTTTTTTATTTCAATGGGTTTTTGGAGAACAGGTAGTGTTTGGCTACATAAATAAGTTATTTGGTGGTGATTTCTGAGATTTTGGTGCACCCATCACCTGAGCAGTGTACACTGTACCCTCACCACCCCCCCAACCCTTTCCCCCAAGTCCCCAAAGTCCATTCTATGATTCTTATGCTTTTGCGTCCTCATAGCTTAGCTGCCACTTATGAGTGAGAACATACGATGTTTGGTTTTCCATTCCTGAGTTACTTCACTTAGAATAATGGTCTCCTTTTACATTCAGATTGCTGCAAATGCTATTGTTTCATTCCTTTTTATGGCTGAGCAGCCTTCCATACTGTATATATACACCACATTTTCTTTATCCGCTTGTTGACTGATGGGCATTTGGGCTGGTTGCATATTTTTGCAATTGCAAACTGTGAAGCACTTTCTTTCAAGGTGATGCTATGAAGAGTCTTACCTCTTGGGGATTCTTTCAAGACCTAATTTGAATAGTCTGGGTCAGATATCATTTATTTATTGATTTAAGATAAATATAAATATTATTTATCTTAAAGAGCCATAAAGACTAATTTAGCATAAGTGAGAAATTTATACCAGAACCCAGCTTGTAGATCAAAGCTTTATGCATTTCATAGGCAGTTCCTCTGTTTTCTGCCTATCGTATATGTGATATCGCAATAACTACGTATGTTTGGTTTTAAAGGCTGCATTTTTAAATATGTGATGCCAAGTAGGGTTTTAGAGAAATGAAGGTTCAAAGTGATTAAGATCAACACTCTTAGGTTTCAAGGAGAATGCTGTCTATTTTGACTGAACATCCTTCATACATTTTGGCTACTCGATAACTAAGAGTAAGACCAAGGAGAAAGGACCTAGTAACTAATGATAGAGTGCTTTCACTTTCTAAAACGTAAGGCATTACGACCTTATGGAAAGCGTTAAAGCTTGTCATGGAAAAGCTACTACCCTTACGAGAGCTTTCAGGTAATTTAAAGGTAGGGCAAATTGATGGTTCTAATTTATAAAGAGTAGTCTTTCCCATCATTTTTTGGTACTAACACTTTTCCTTTGGGAAACTACTCCCACCTCATCTCATCTTTGTAGGATTGTAACCAAGGGCTGGGCACCTAACCCAGGACCAATCATACTCTAGCTTCCTCTATTGTGATTATTGAGGAGGTGACACAGAGGAACTAGAGCTGACCCCTCCCAGGCCTGTACCTGCTGATTAAATCTTGCTCCCTGGACCCTGGGTGCTGTCCTGGCTCCTGTGTTTCCTGAGGCCCAGATCCTCTTCTTTACTTTTGTCTCCATATAACCTACCTTATGTCCTGAAAAATCACCTTTTGCTTAAGGCAGCCATATTCAGTTAGTTTCCATTACTTCCAACAAAAGAACCCCATCTATACAGCATACATTATTTGGGTGATGGATACTCTAAAAGCCCTGACTTCACCTACACAATCCTATGCATGTAACAAAATTACACTTGTATCTCATAAATTTACACAAAAAAAGAACTTCATCTGATAAAAGGGACTAAACTAAATGAATATTTAGACAGAGATAACAGCCACAAGTAGACAGTGGATTTCAGCAGGGTCCTCAGCCCCTTAGCTATTAGTTAGCTGAGGGCTTATGTAAAACAGCTGTGACAAAACCTGTGTGATTCTGAGTTGGTTTAAATCTTTTTTATAAATACGTTGCACGCTATCTATTGCTCTCTTAAAACTAATTTAAAGAAATGTATTATTAGGATACTGGTCTTACCTTAGGCAAATCTTGTACTATGCCAAGAAATGTAATAAATAGCTAGTTTCAGGGAAATTACTAAGAAACTTTATGAAGATCTGGTGGTCAACTGAGAAAAATTATATTGAGGTAAGAATATGTTTGATTTTAAAATTGCTAGTTCACTGTCCATGTGTATACGGAGAAATCTCTGTAGCTAGAAAGATGACATTGCAAATGTGACCAGCAGATGAAAACCAGAACAAAACTGCTGGCACATGGAGCATTCCTGCAGGGAACCCCTTAAGATTTATTATCCTGAGCAGTATTTCCAGCAAATGCATGAACACATTCAGATTTTTGATTGGGTTCCAATTTTAGTCATTATTCTTTCAAATGCATATTTAGAAGACAGCCATGGATTATAATTGATAGCCAATTTTTTCAGCCCAAATATATCCACTGAAAAATACTATGAAAGATGAAGAAAGGATGTGGCTTCTTTCTATATATATGAAATAAAATCCTTCTTCATTTTAAGTTGATATGTTAATTAAACATGGTTGGTACTGGTTCTATCACAGATACATATATTTTTTCATATTGAGACACAGTCTTTTTTTCTGTATCAGTCATTTATGACTCCCCACATTCCCTTCTTCATGTTTCATTATGACATGACCATTGCTTTGAGTTTTAATTTTTCTTTTTTTTAGAGACAGGGGTTGGTCTTGCTATGTTGCCTGGGCTGGTCTTGAACTCCTGGGCTCAAGGGATCCTCCTGCCTCAGTCTCTCAAGTCTCTGGGATTACAGGAACCGGTCTACTGCACCCAGCTATTTTAAAGTTCTACATCTGGACAACTTTAAAAGGAAGAGGTTTGGGATGGAGAATAACCCACATCATACAATTTAAACCCCTATAAGAAGCAGTAGTTTAAGCAGCTTTGCTAGAGTAAATCATGATTTCAGACTGTGTGAATTTTAAATTTCCTCTGCTGTATAAAACCACTGTAAGAACAAAAATAGACAACAATAGACTACAAACCCCAGAATTACAAAGTTGTTTGGAATTGTTAACAATATTGCCTGTTCATGCTGTAATTAGTTAGTATGACGGAGATGTTTTATTACATGATAGCACCACACCTGGGTACAGTGTTGGGAAGATACCAGGAATCAACAAAGAGTACAATGACATGTCTTATGGGTTCACATGTTAGGTTTCCAGTACAATATTAATATGGTTCTGAGCCGCAGGTTGATAAACTATTCCTGGGTTTTTAATATGAAAATGTCTCAGAAGTGGTTACCTTTATGGCCTCAGCATGATCTTACAGCCTTAATTCTCCTATAATTAGGGAAATAATTACAGAAAATTATCTACTTTAATTTTTTTCCCTTATATCATCTTTACTGTTACTAAAGAAATACTAGAGACAAAATCAGCTGATACCAGCAGGAATATAGAAACTACTTTTATCATGAATCTCTCTTGCTGAAATTCTGGGTGATAGAGAAGTTAAGAAAATTAGGCCAAAGTTCTTTCATACGGTCACTTTGGAAGACAGAACATAAGTCTGAAGTGTAAGTAACTGTCCCCAAGCTAAATTTGAGGAGGTAAAGTCATTAAAGAAATTAATAGGTGATACTGCATTATAGCCAAGAAAAGATGAGAATTTGGAGGGATTTAAAATGTAACACCACCCTGCAGGCACTTCTTTTTATTGTAATTCAGCACATATACAGAGAACTTGCAAGCAGGTTAACGATGACATCAACTATGGCCCATTTTCCAAATCTCCTATCAAACTTTGGAGACAGCATGCTTCCAAACCAAACCTAAAGGTAACCTTCTGTGACTTATTTGCCAACACGCATGGCTTAAAAAGACCATGAAGGCTTTGCATTCTTGGAACTGGAATTTCCACATATTAAAGTCCATGCATAATATAATTTTTGCTCTGTAAGTCAAGAAGCAAGGCAGTGAAATACTCTAGTAATTAAAATTAAAAAATCAATATTATCTATAAATAATGAGCATGCAAGGATCTGTAAGATGATGAGTAAACATTTTGGCAGGGAGTAAGTGCCACATACTGGTGTGAGGAGCAACGTCTTCATTAAGCTTCTCCTATTTCTCCTTGCTCTCCCATCCCATCAATCTAATGGGAATTTCCCAGGCAAAAGCCTTCTGCTTAGCTTGTAATGAATTAAACATTCACATTTCTCTTGCTCTCTGCACAGGTGGACAACTGCCACGTCATGGAAAGACTACTGGATACGCATGCAGAGGCCTGGATGAACAGGCACAGAGAGGCTTGGATTTATGCCTAGGTTTGGCATGTAACGTTTTTGTCTGGGGGCCTCCATTTGTAAGGTAAGGAGGTTGAACTGCGCTTGATGATGCTTGCATTTCCTTTATAGCCTTGAAGTTGGTAATTTGGAAATGCTCTGTCCCTCCTCAAAAGACTGTTCTACATTAGATTTCTGAGAGATTTCCAATATCTACAACTTCAGTGCCTTCCTCTGTTAAGGAAAAAGGTTTAAGCAAGAAAGAATGTTCTCATTTTTATGACAAAACTCTCCAAGTTATATCCCTCAAAAAGATTCCATGAAGTCATGTCTAACATTTGCAACTGCATGAATATAAATATTTAAGTTCACTGTAGCACCATACATCCACACTAAAACATTGAAGTGTGAAAAGGCTCTTCCTGCCCTCCACAAAAATTTGTGACACAGAACTTTTTCACACCCAAATGTGAAAAATGATTCACACCCGGAATGCATCATAATTTGCATAGAGACCTCATTAACACTGGAGACTTTTTGTGTATATAGCTACATAAAATCTTAGGCACATTAGTAATAAATAAATAATAATAGAGACTGGTAGTGGCAGCATCCAATTGGTTAGAGAAAACTACAAAATTACTTCTATTTTACTAATGACAATTCCTACATATATAGTTTTTTCACAGAGTCTTGCTCTGTTGCCCAGGCTGGAATGAGGTGGCACAATCATACCTCACTGTAGCCTTGAATTCCTGGGCTCAAGGCTCCTGCTTCAGCCTCCTGAGTAGCTAGGACTACAGGTGCATACCATCACGCCTGGCTAATTTTAAAAGGAAATAAAAAATAGTGAGCTGGCGTCTCACTATGTTGCCCAGCTGGTCTTAAACTCCTGGGCTCAGGCAATTCTTCAGCTTCAGCCTCCCAAAGTGCTGGGATCACAGGTGTGAGCCACCACATTTGGCCAATGATTACTATTAATAACGCTGTATTTCCTATGTTATCATACAAATAGCCCATAAAGTTTGTATTATGTGACTCCCACTACCACTGTTACACAACAGCCCTTGATACTGGTTTTAGGTACACAGCACAATCACTACCGCCACCATTATCAAGCAACGACACATGCCCAAGTCCTTTAAAACCTTAAAAATGGAGCAGGATAGAGCAAGAAGTGGAGAGGAAAAAAGAAAGTGAAAATCTAAAGATGGAGCATACATAAATGTGCACGTCTTTAGAATATGAACATGGATTCTGGAAATTTCTGGAGCCTTAAGTCAACTGCAATAATTGGTTCACAGATATTTCCCACTAAACACCACCCTGTCCTATGCCAGCCTACACAGACACACCAAAATGTAGCTTAAAGATTTCTGTTATATCTTTAGGAATAAAACAGCTGAATATGACCTGGAAACAGCTGCTCTCCTGTGGGTCTGATATTAGGATATAATCATTTCAATTAAAAAGATCTGCCAAGAATAAAAGTCTATCTTCACATTCAACTCTCTAATAAGAATTTTCCACATTTGGCTCAAATGCAGAAAAATAGATTTTTTCTGGCATTACTGTATGCAAGAAAGAGTGGCAAATATTCTAAAAATGGTTTATAATGTGAAGGGTAGTAGAATATGCCACTTCAAAATTTGCCACTTCAGCCTAAGAATTATTATGAGCTACAGGCAATGAAAAAGGAGGAGACACAAGAAAAAGTCTCTGCTCTCCTTCTTTCTACCAGGAAGGGCAAGGCAATTCTTAATCACTGGAGACAACTCTCCTGTATCAACCCAGAGATGGCATCAGAGGAATCTGCACAACACATCTCATTATCCCTTATTTCCCATTAGTTTCTCCCGCTTATTTACCTTCCTACAATTGCACGCCCTTGAAGCTCAAAATCCTTTTCCTCTGTCTTTTTCACTTCTCTAAAAAACTGTCTTTTTGTTGTTGTTGTTGCTAAGATGCTCTAAAGGTCCAAGCTCTAACCACCCCTCTGGGTTACTCATGCCCATGTGTGTATGTAAATACACATGTTAATAAACTTCTGCTCATTTTTCTTTGTTAATCTGTCTTTTGTCAGTTTAATTTACAGGGCCCCAGCCAATAAACCTAAGATGGGTAGAAGGAAAAGAGGTTTTTACTTCCCTACCACAGTCACTGGAGAAAGGAAGGCATGCTCACTTCCATTTAGGGACAAGGGTGAAGGTAAAGAGGAGCGGTCTGATGAAATAGAGAATGAAATTCACACGACCAAACCCCAAAGGCTTCATCAATCTTCAAATCAGTAAATGTTCCTAGTGCATGGTGGTACTGAGGGGACAAACTTTCTGATGAACAGAGTTTATGTCTGGCCTGGCTTGCTACCTTTAATTAATTCAATACTAAATGAGTTGTACAATGATCTGGTATTTGTTATTGGGGTGCTAATATACCCGCAAGAAGTTCTTATTGCCATTCTTTAATCCCTTGGAGTTAGCAGGCAGTTATAGCAAGCCTGAATCCACTCCAACATATGTCGTTGGGCCTCTTAGGCCCTGGCACTCTCGTTTCCTCCCTGGGTATGTACAATATTACCACACTTTCAATTCCAGTGGATTTTGTTTGCCTTATACAGATATTCTTTTTCTTCAGCTCCAGAGGAAATGTTCCCAGATGAACAAGGCCAGCAGATGCTGCCTCTCGTAACAATATCATGCAAAGAAAAATGCTAGTTAAAAGTTTAAACCATCTTAACTCAATAATAAACACTGGTTTGGGAACTCAACAACAGCCATAGGCTTTCCCAACCTACTGATTTTCATACCTTACCTATACATACCTTAATAGTGTTAAGTTGGAGGCTTTTCTTCTTTTCCTGAACTTTAATTACTTATTTGATGAACACAATTTTTTAATTGATTGGGGTATTTGCTAAGCTACCTTCACAAAAATCACTGTTCCTAATTCTCAAATACAGTGTTTGCGGGTTGAACCCAAGCCAGAGCCAAGCTAGTGTTGAACTTGACATGTAATCCTACAAATTACCCAGTTGATAGATGGGGGACAGCAACTATCACTTTCCCTTCCTCTTCATTGCCAGCGTGAGTCTTTAAACTTTCTGAATTTTCAGGGCCAATATTTCACTAAGAAATAACAAGTGTTTATCACTTTACTAGAAGTACAGGCTGGGTGATTCATGGGGCTTCTTCCTAGCCAGGTGATTTATTTCCATATACTAGACTCACAGTATTTACCTAAGGAAGATTCAAGGTAGTATATATCATAGAAATCTTAGCTAGCTTATGACCAAATAACGTACACGTATTAAATCCATGTATGCTCCTACTAGAGTCAATTTGGAAATATCTCCAGGTCTTTCTATGCGTGCATCAATCTATAAAGGAAACACTAGCTCAACTCTGCTTTTCTTACTAATTCTAGGTCTTTGCTCAAAAGCTTTCTTCTTTGGGATGGATTTTCTGACAGCCTTGTTCCTTCCTTTATATTCCACCCCCTCCCAAGTATGAACTCTCAAATTAGTCTTAAATAAAGCTGCTAACTTCTCCTTCTAAACATTATATTATAAATATATCTCCTTAGAGCTTTACCCACATTGTATATTATGTGCTTGTGTGATATCGTATATGTGCCTGTGTATGTGACATCACACACACATACACATACACATCTGCCCTGCAAGACAGGTAGGCCCTTGAGGATAGAAACCATGTTTTATTTATCTTTCTAATCTAGTGCTTCTTACAGTGCCTGGGACTGTAAATAAATGTTGCTGAATAAATAAAAGTTGAATTTTCTCAAGGCCAGTAGTAAACATCACTTTTGTTTTCCATGGATTACTTCTCTGGAGATACAAGAGGTTTACACTTACTAAACAAATAACATGCTATGAATTATGCAGGAACATCATTACTTCAATACTTCAGAGAGGAAAAGTCAAGAAAAGAAACTCTGTTATTTACTCCATGTTTTACATTTAGCCATTGAGAACCAAGTTATGGAAACTGGATCTCATACCTGACAACTCTGTACTCTACCCATTAGCTTGTGGCGTGTGATAAGTCAAGAACAGACCTGATTTGTCCCTTTCCTTTCACATAATGATCATCATATTATTACTCCCTTAGCTTTTCAGGCCGGACAGGGGATAACATGCTTTAGCAATGGTAAGAGACGAGGAAGGATGCCCCGGCTCTGAGGCAAGGTGTAAGCAAACGCCTCTGTGCCCCATTTCCCCCTCTGTGAAAAAGAAAAGCACAATATTTAACAACATCGCCAAGCTATTGTGAGAATTAATTAGATTTCGTGGGGGAAGGGAGGTGAGATGATTAGGCATGATTCAAATTCAAAGTGTCATTATTTTGTGTCTAAAAATAATCTTGATTTAGGAATAAAATTAATTTGGAAGCTCAATCTTTGGTGATCATCTTCCCATACTTAAAAAAAGGCATAGTTTTAATCAAAATCTCATTCTAACTATAATTCAATGAAGTAAAAATGGAATTTCCATTCATCTTTGAAGTAATACAGCCACAGTTCATTTTTTTCTTTTTAGTTTTTCTTTTTTTTCCTTAATAACACATTATGTGTTAAAAGGTTAACTTTGTGGAATGGAGTAATATAAACAAATACAGATATTGAGCCCACTTTTTTTGTTGTTTCGCATGAAATATTTGTGAAACACTTTAAATCGCTTCTCTAAAGAATCGATAAGCTATGTTTTCTGGTTGAAATAACTTTTCAGGTTGTTTCTGCAAAATTCCATCTATATTTTTGTTCAAGAACTCATCAGTTAAAGAAGATCTTAGTACTCCCCAAATTAAAAAAAAAAAAAATCCTGGATATTTAAGGCTATGGCAAGGAAAAAAAAAATCACTGAGTTCGTTGTAATCCCCAAAACTAATGTAACAGATTCATTAACTGTGGAAATCTTCATGAGGAGTTGAAGTTGGTATCTGAGAAATATCTGGGTCTATGTACCTTCGAAAAAAAGGAAAACATTCTTTAAAATAGGTAAGAGTTTATAATCTTGGGAACTTAGATCATATCTGTCAAAAAAAAAAGTTACACTCAGGGTTTTTGGTGAATGAAGAGTTTGGGCTGGAAAGGAACTCTATCAATATTTATTTCGAACTGTCCAGAGGAAAGGAAGACCGCATAGTCCAGTTAGCAGGTATGTACTCTGTATAGAGAAGTAGGACTAATTCTCTTAATTTTAACATAAGCCCTATTAAAGTTTCCCGTAAGACCTACAAATACTCATATTAGACTGTATACTCACCAAGGAAACTTTTGATTATTCATTCGATTGCCCCGGACCCTTGATACTGGGGACGGATGTACCCTGTAGACAGAGAAGAATAATCCAGTCATTGAAAAAGCATATTCCCAATTGCAAATTTAAAAAAATGGCATGTTTTATAAATAATTTCTTTTAGAATTGCTTAATACAAAATCCCCAGAACTTGAACCCCTCTTAGTAAATGATGCAATTAAATTCCTACGCCTGCAAATCTGTGGTCCTTTTTTCCTTCTTAACCACTCTCAAGACAACAGGTCTGTCATAATGTTCACTCTGAAGACTCCCAGAGGCAGGACTGATGCATTCATTCAGTCCAACAAAAGTGACTGAATACCTAACCCTTGCCAGGTACAAGGGTGGGTAAAAGTTATCTAAGGTATGGTGCCTGAGTTCAGTGAGCCCTCTTTGTACCTGTTCCCATGAGGGTGGGCACAAAGAGGTGTCTAAGTGCCCTCTCCTTCACTCTACCACATTTAAAACTCTAGGAAGCAAACAACGTTATTCAAATGTGCTGTGACAGAATCTGCAGGCACAGGGAAGGAAGGAAGGGTGAACAGGTACTCCTAGGAGGAGTACATTCTGGAAGTGATGTGCTACACTGGACTTTGAAGAAAGTAAAGTCAATTCAAAATTTTAGCCAGATAAAGGAGAAGTGAAGAATATATTGCTTTCCAAGCTTCCAGGATTGGACTTATCCACTGGAAACAGCTTAAAGCTTCCGGGAACTGCTGTTATCTTCTAATCAAAGCCTAGCTAGTAAACCTCCGCCTCTTTGTGGGTCACTAACCGGCAAAACAATACGCCCTACTTCCGGCTGCCAGCTTCCTGTTATGGTCTGTCTTTAGCCAGGATTTGTGAGATCCAAGCAGTCTTAGCTTGTATTACCTTCACCCTTTATGCTTCATACATTGCTCTTATTTACAAGAAAAAAAATGGGGATATAAAACTGGTCTTAAAGTCCAGTTAGAACCAAGGTTTGTAAGAAACCCAGTTCTCTGTAGTTGTTTAATAAGTGAAAATCATTCCAAAACAGATAATGCAGTTCCAGCCCCGCCTAAGGGCCAACTGCAGTCTTTCCCTAAACCCAGAGCCAGACTGCACTTTGCACTCGGAAGGCTTATTTCTTCCAACATCCCTTATTAACATTCTTTTCCTCACAGCGCTTCTCAATGGCTGCTGCAGCTGAGCTGCTCAGCACAGATTTTCTGCTCGGCATGGGGGAGGGGGTGTTAATTATGCAGAAAGATGGAGAGAGGCCAGACAGCCCCTCTGGTGAACTGTCTCATTCAAGCACGGCCCACTTCCTGCTGTTTTGCAGCTACAAGGATCACCTGTTGGTCTCGGCGTCCAGCCAAACTGGGGCCTAGTGGAAATGACAGACTCAGCTAGAAATGAAAGCCAGTTCATAATCCAGTATCCTAAATTGGACAAAGAGGGGGAAAACGCAATAATAGTACATAAAAATTATACGAAAGGCAGCAAGCGTAATTTTTTCCTCTTTTATTCTTTTACTTTTTTACTTTCTGTCTGCTTGAAATACAATCCTTAAAATGGATATTTGAGCCAAAAAAGTTCTCCCCAGTTAAAGCCCCCTGACCTAAGAGGAAGTGCAGGAAATTCTCCTGAACTTTCCCTATACCCTCACTGGGGTATCAGAATCCTAACTATTTAAATAAAGTTTAATCAGCCCCAAATACTCACAGTTCTTTAATTTGTTCTCTATCTTTTACACATTTACTTTTTATATTGTCCCCTCCTTAACCCTAGGAGTACAAAGAAACTATTTCATCATGAAAATTCCACTGGGTGAAGTTTAATGACAGAAGTATTCTCTTATTGATGCTGTTTATTGCATATATTAGTGAAGAAAAAGAGAGTCTGTTTAATCCATAATTACAACATTGTCTAGGTATTTGTATCTTTTAGGAAAATTTCACTGATCCATAGATCAAATACTGCAAATGGAGAATTTCTATAATGGTTTAGCAGTCTCAGGAAAAGAATTCCTTAGGAAAGTCTTTGGAAAAGAAGTCCTGATTGTGTATATGAACAAATAATTACAAGGTTTCCTAAATTAAAAAGGTAAATCAACAAAGCTTTATTTCTGTCCTCAAAGGGAATAAGTACACTGATAACTTGGCACATACTTCATCTGATAAAGTAGACCATAAGCCTTGCACTTCACCAACCCCCTATATATTATTTCTTCAAAAGGATATGGCATGTTTTTTTGAGCTCAGTCTTTAACCTGTGACACTTTTTGCCATCTTCTGCCTTCTTTCCACATATAGAAGCCAGGCAGGTAGCAACGTCAAAACCTCTGTAGGAGAAACCACCACCTAATCTGCATGTCATGCATTATTCATGACCTCCTGATTCTTGCACCTGCATCTAGGCAGGAAGCTTGCAGGGAATGTTCATTATTCTTCCCTTAGCCTCACACAGGCTCGATTACTGCTAAGCCACTTTGTTCTGTAACTAAGGGGTTCAGGCCTTAGTACTAACTGCTGGATGTGGAAAGAAAAAACACCACGCTGAACAAAAGGGCAATCTTGGTTGTTGTGTAACATGTATTGAATGTGCTCTTCTGAGACTGACAGTTTGTCAGGTAGAAATGCTCACATTTGGTGATTTACATTACATAGAAAACAGGGAAGCTATACCATTAGGGCCATGTGTACCAACTGTTCTATTTATATACACTTACTCATCTGGAGCAGAGAGCATGTTTATAATTTTACCCAGTGCAGAGCTTAATTTAGCTTTCTTGCTAAGCATATGAGAACTTTTTAGATGACTTAATACAAAAACGGCTCTTTCTTCTTTGGGTATAAGCACCAAAGAACCTGACTCTCAAAACCTTGCATCTTAATGACTGCCATTTATAGTTAATCAAGAGAATACCATCACTCTGGTTTTCAATGTTTTCATAAACCTACCTGAGTGGCACCCCCTGGTGACTGGAGGTGGGATGCAACATCTTGATTCCCAACACAAATCATCAGCACTCATGAATTGCTGGGGGAAGGATACTGGTCCCACTTTACTATCTGCACCACAGAAAAGCTGTGATAACTTAATGCAATCTTATCATCCCAAATGGAATTAGGATGAAGTGGTTAAGAGTGAAAATTGTGTGACCAGCCTGCCTGACTGAATCCCAGCTTCACCGTTTACCAACGGTGTCATCTTTGGGCAAGTTATTTAACCTCTCTGTGCCTCAGTTTCCTCATCAGGGCAAATGGAGGTAATAATGGGGCCTATTACCTAGGGCTGCGAGGTTTAAATCAGTTAACAGCTATAAAATCTTTAGAATGGTGCTCAGTACTTAGGAAGCAGTCAATACATGTTAGCTATTGTCACTAGCAGTGCTGATTAGACATGAAAGGATGGGAAGTCAGAGGATAGAGCTGGACTATCCAGGTAATTCCAGGGGATTAAGATTACAAATATGCTCTACAGAGCCTGCAGTCTTACCTACTGTGCTTATACAACTTTACTAAAGGCGAGAAAACAAACCAAGAAATAAACATGGGCAGAATAATACAAACCAAAAACTATGGCTTATAAGGTATGGCTTACTCTCAGGCAGCTCATTTTTTTCTGCTCTTTATTAGAAGACCTATCTTCTGTGTACTAAACTGCACAGTATTTAAGTTATGACCCATTCAAGAACAAGACAGTAATCACGGCAATGCAAATTTGCACCCATTTACAGAGCCCTTACTATTTGCTTGGTATCATGCTAAATAATTAAGACATATTATCTTAATTTATCCTCATGTCATTACTGTCCACATTTTATCTTTGAGAAAATAGGCTTAGAAGATTAGGTAACTTGCTGGGGTCACGTAGGTAGTAAAGAGAAAAGTCAGGATTTAAACACAGGTACGTCTGACCTGTCTGACCTGTCTTACATCATGGATGATATAAGATTATCATCTGATACTTATATATATTCCCTCCACCCAGCCCAGAGGATGTAATAAGATGAATTAGCACCAGGGTCTTAAATAGGAAATTTTCCATGTATTTAAGCCCAATTGAACATTTTATAATATAAGTAGATATAAAGTGGAAGTAATGGTTTTCTTGGACTAAATATGAAGCATGTGGGTACTTATAAGAAGCACAGTCATAATAATATACTTTATCTCTTTAATTGTTTATGAATGTTCCTTGTTATATTAGCATTGCTATTTAAATACATAATGTACAACACATGTAAATTTTAGAGGGCAGAAATTAATTCTAGCTATAGCCATGCTTCCTCACATTCCATTTTCTCTAGAATCCAATGTAGTTGGTATCCACACCGCTCTGATGAAACTGCCCTCATCACAGCCATCAATAGTCTCCATGTTTTCAAATCTAATGGTGAATTCTTAGTCCTCAACTTCTCAGCAGCAACTGACATAAATTATCACTCCATTCTTGAACAGCTTCTTTACTCAGCAGCCAAGACATTCTTCTGGCTTTCCTCCTTTCTTTCTCCTTTGCTTGAACCTCCTCCTCTCATTCTTTCAAACTCTAAATGTTGGCATGGGCTAGTTGTCACTGTCCTATAACCTTTCCTCTCCACTATTTAAACTCACTCTGTAGCTAAAAGAGGCTCCAACTGAGCTACCATCATGACCTTCCCATCCACATCATCACGACTCCCAAATGTCTACCTCCAGCCTTAGATCTTCTCTGAAAACCAGACCCAGGTTTCTTAATATCAACCTTTCTCTGAAAGAAACAAACAAAAAAAAAGATGTTCCTTCTGGTATCTTCTCAATTTCAAAAATGTTGGAATTATTCACTCAGTTGCTCAGGCCAAAAACCCTTAGAATAACATGTGAGTCCACTTGTGCTCACACCCCATAAATTAGAGAGGCTGTTTCATACTGAGAAGAATGAGAATAAATGATTATTCCACAGACCAATGAAATCTTTCTTGTAGGACATTACTCATCTAGCAAGACTAGATATTTTATACCAAGATTATAAGAAATTATTATGTACAAATACGTTCTTTTTCTAAAACCATTTAGGTTATATAATCATTAACCTATATTTTAATTAGGTTAATGATTAAATGATTATCTATACATTGTGCAAAGCATTAAACATAATACATACTTTAACAACTCAGTTTACTACATTTGCTGAAGAAAAGATTAACCTAAAATAACTCCACAATTACTAAATATCAGAATTTTCCTATGCAGAATTATATAAAAGATAATTTAAAAATAATTCTTGGTATTGCTTTCTTCTTACACTCGGTTGTACTGAATACAAGTTCTCCTGATGATTTAGGTTACTCTAGATGTTATTTTAATATAAACACACTACCCATGACCAAATAAAAATATGAGTGTGACCAGTGTTTAAATTCAGTGGGCCTATTTTATTCTCAGGTTTTCCTCAGGCCAGTGATTAAATGACTATTAGAAATGCCATATATTTTTAAAAGGTTCTCCATCTGCCTTTATACTAAAATTTCTCTCATGAAAAGCCATTTATGTTACTTTTAGAAAAGTGGGCTGAACTTAAATATTATATACAATTAATATGTGAACTTTTTTTTTTTTTTTGAGATGGAGTCTTCCTCTGTCACCCAGGCTGGAGTGCAGTGGTGCCATCTTGGCTCACTGAAACCTCTGCCTCCCTGGCTCAAGCAATTCTCCTGCCTCAGCCTCCTGAGTAGCTGGGATTACAGGCATGCGCCACCTGTAATGGCTAATTTTTGTATTTTTAGTAGAGATGGCGTTTCACCATGTTGGCCAGGATGGTCTCCAACTCCTGAACTCAAATGATCCTCCTGCCTCAGCCTCCCAAAGTGCTGGGATTACAGGCGTGAACCACCATGCCCAGCCAATATGTGAAATTTTTTTTAACTGCTTACTATAACTCTTATTCTAATGTCATAGACACTGAAAGAGAGAAGTTAAACTGTGCTAAAAATATTACATTTTGAAGGAAACATTAATTTCTGATATACACCAACAGAATGAGGAATTCTAAAAAGAGCATTTGGTGTGCAATTATAATGTATTAATTAATCCTGGCCCTATCTCCCACCATCCCCACTTGCTCTCTCTGGGGCAGTGACACTAGATGTTCTCCTCTCTCCCTGCTAAGGTGATTAGCTGATGCTCAACTGTAAGATGCCCTCCCTAACCTCCAGGTCTTGGTGAACTTGCTCTTAGTTCTCATGGCACGGGGTACTTAGCATGGGTTAACTCAAGATTATATTTGTTAGTATGTTTAGTTTATGTAACCTGTCTCTCCAACTAGACAGCATATTCCAGGGGACAAGGGAACTTTTCTCTTTTTGCTTACTGTCATATCTCCAGTACCTGGTACTAAAGTAGGCACTCAATAAATAGCTGTTGTATTATTGGCCTGATTTTCCTACTAAACTACAACTTCCAGGATGGATGCAATGACCATGTCTGTCTAATAAACTATTGCATCCTCAGAGCTTATCATAACACATTGTTCACATATAATAAACATGTAGCATAGATGCATAAACATTTGCTAAACAATGAGTATAGAAAAATATAAAAATGTTTTATGTTTAGAAATCTGAGCAATCTCAGTGAATTTACTGAAAACCTCCAGAGCACCTAAAGCATCAGTAATTGAACATTATTAATTCAATCCAACAAACTTCACTCAACAGTTACTATATGCGAGGTCTTGCATTGTAAGCAAAATAGGATCCCTGCCCTCAGGCAGCTTACAGTCCAGTTGAGATAAACAGGTAGTAACTATTACAAAATAAGATAGGAAAATTATAAGAGATTTCAAATTTCATAAAAGTTAAAACAGGGTTAGAATGAATTCAAACTGTGAAATACCAGAGAAGGTTTCCAGGAGGAAGAGACTTTTAGGCTAGGACAAAAAGAATAGGTACAATTTTCATAGGCAAAATTGAACAATGGTAGGAAAGCACTCCAAGAAGAGGAGCTAAGTTACTCACCTAAGTATGAAAGTGAATACAAGGTATGAAGTGAATAATATGGCATGGCCAGAGGGGAGAGATTCTTGCAAGTATTTGCGGGAGACAAGCTTGATGTTAAGATGGGATTAAGATGCACATATCAATACATAAATGTCTAAGGAGTCGGGAACTGGGTCACAGAGCTGTGCAGCCACATCAGCCTTTCTTCTATTGCTCAGAGCCATATATACAACCTGTCTATCTTTTACTTAACCAACATTTATTGTGCACCTATTACTTACTCATTAATTCAAATATTAGTTGAATCTCTACTGTGCCAGGCACTGTTCTAAGTTCTTAAGTGTGTTCCAGGCTCCTATGTGCTATGAAGTGTGTGAGGGGAGGGGATGCTACAAGGATTCAAACACAGTTCCTGACTTGAAGAAGCCAGCACTGCAAGGTGAGCTTAGACAAATAATTGACCATGATGGTGCCATGTGATAAACAGCTGCAGTGGCAGATAAACGGCCATGGTGCATCTGAATTAAGCTTTGGAGTGAACCTGGGAGTTTCCGTAGGACAATGAAGGAGGTACACTTTAAAGGATACATTTCTCAGATGTGGAAAAGGAAAGGGGAATTCTGGAGATATGAAAAAGCACCAAAGGGTAGGAATGTGTCCAATAGCAAAACCACAAATTGGTGTAGACAACCAGAGGGAAAGGTTTAGCGAGCCTGGAGGGGCAGGAGATTACAGGTGTCGTGTGTTGTGGTAAATGGTTAACTCAAACAGAATTAAAGGACAGCCATCAAAGGATTTCAAGATTGGAACTGGCACAGTCGGATTTGTATACCAGAAAAATCACCTTGGCAGCAGTACAGAGGGTGGTCTGAGGGGAATGCAAGGCACAGGAGGCCATGGGAGGACACCTGCAATAATGTCACAAAGCGGGATTCAGATGGACACAGCAGGAATGACGGTGGGTCGAGGGAGGAGTGAGAAGAAGATGGACACAGATTAGGCGTATCTGCAGGATCTGGTCTAAGTACATGTGAGGTGGGGGTAAGTGAGGCAGAAGTAAGGTAACAATTTTTGGATGACATCCAGGGTTCTGATGTGGGTAATCAAAGAAGCCAGTATAGGGAATAAAGGAGGAGGATCATGTTTCTGGATTAAAAAAGAATACAAGTTTTTAACTGTCAGATGCACATACACATCTGGGGTTCAGCAGACAATTCTGAGAAGAGCTAGAGACCTGAGTATCCTTAGCATATAAATCATAGGTGAGCCCTGAGCTTCATGGAGGCAGAATTTAAGTGAGAAGACCACCAGACCAGGGCCAGGACCCCAGAGAACAGGACATCTTCTCGATTGACTTTAAACCTCTCTTCCCACTCATTCAGAGAATACCAGGGATCTCACTGGATGGAAGGTTGGAGTTTCATGACTCATTTCAGGCTCATATGATCTCATGACCAACGTCAGGACAGAAAAGAGTGTCTCCACCCTTTCTTCGATGTCAGAAAGGCAAAAAACAATCTGCTTTTCCTTCAGTGTTGCTTTGAGCAGTCATTAACACCAGTATCAATTCTGTTAAACAACCCAGAAACCCAGGAGTTACCCTGGTCTGAACTCTTTCCATATCCACAAACAGGGATGGCTATGACACTATGTCCATTATATCTGTGTTCCATTTCCACAGTTACTCACCTATTTTAACCCATTCCTCTTTTTTAAGACCTCCCCTAATCCCTTGGCTGCACTATAGCATAGTGATATTTTTCAGCTCCACTGTCCCTTTAATGGCTTTCCATTGCTTTTGAAGTTGACCCAAATCTCAACACGGCCCGAATGCCTATCAGCCAGCCACTCACCTCTCCAAGCTTCATGATGCTACAACATCCCCTTCTGTTTTCTGTTTCTTGCTCTCAGCTCAGTGTCTGTGCATATGCTGGTCCTTTTATTCACAGCCCCCCTTACCAGCCCCACCTAGTTTACTCCTACCCCTTCCTCAGCTCCGCAGTTCAAATGTCACTTCTCTCCCTCCAACTCACCAAACTGGATCATGTCTCCACCTTACAGATTCTCATCATTCCCTGCATTGCCCTTCATAGCACTTAGAAGGCTTATAATTATATGGAGAGTGATTATTTGATAAAAAGTAAGAACTATTTCTCCCTAGCTCACCACTTTATGCCTAGTACCAGGCCGTATGTCCAATACAAAGTAGGCACACATTACATACTGTTGTATAAATAAAAAGAGATGATGAGAACTCACAATAGTAGTCTTATTTTACCTAAAGATGTGTTGCTGCAATAATTTGGAAAAATAAGTAAGTCAATATATGTGTGTGTATACATATACATATACAAACTATATATATATACACACACACACACACACATCTATATATATATATATATAGATTATACATTAAAAAGATACAGTACAAAATGTAAGAGAAGGTGACTGAAAAATGATGTACCTTAAAGAAAAGCTTTGGCCCTACAGGAGATGTGGGTTCTTTGGACCTGCATCGGCCCACACCTGGAACCATCCCAAGCCAGAATGTCAGGGCAGATCCATCCGTCACTTCCTCACCACCACAGAAATTAGTGGACACAGTGGGAAAACTGGTGAAATCCAAATGAGGTCAGTAGTTTTGTTAATTGTTCGAGCAACGATAATTTATCGGTTTGAATAATTATACTATGAGGATGTAAGATATTAACATTAGAAAAATTGGGTGAAAGGTATATGTGAATTCTCTATAATAATTTTGCAACTTTTACATTCTCAAGTTATTTCAAAATAAAATAATTTTCAAGTGCCAGGGCTTTGCTGGGATAATAATATAAGCAATACAGATCTATTAGAAATTATTTTTTCTGTATTTTATTTTGTGATAGGGTTTTTCATTCAACAGTTATTATCAATAACAATCTATACATGTTTACAAATATAAAGTATATGTGTGTGTGTCTGTGTGTGCATATATATGTACCTTCTCTCGCATTCTTTTTTTTTTTTTTTTTTTAAGATGGAGTCTTGCTCTGTAGCCCAGGCTGGATTACAATGGCACGATCTCAGCTCACTGCAACCTCTGCCTCCTGGGTTCAGGTGATTCTCCTGCCTGGGCCTCCTGAGTAGCTGGGATTACAGGTATGTGCCACCATGCCTGGCTAATTTTTGTATTTTTAGTAGAGACAGGCTTTTGCCATATTGGCCAGGCTGGGCTCGAACTCCTGACCTCAGGTGATCCACCCACCTCGGCCTCCCAAAGTGTTAGGATTACAGGCATGAGCCACTGTGCCCGGCCTATCACTCTTTTTTCAAAGTAAAAACTGATTAATTCCACCTTTATTTTCATGGTTTTCTGCATGAACTGAGTACAGAATTACTAATAAATGGAATGCTGAAGAGTGGTAGAAAGAAAAGAGTAAAAGAAAAAGAGATGAAGGCATTTTCAAAGGTTGATAAAATAATGCTATGGTAAGTTTTGGGGAAATTTAGATTATGTGTACAGAGAAATACAACCTATATCATGGAACTGACATTTATCTAGGTTATACAGATCCCAAATTTTGCTTTGACCTGAGATATCCTGATAATTGCTTCAATTTTCCACTTTCCTTTTCATGGATATAAATATATTATTTTTCAGTGTTCAGTAAATGGTACATTAAGGTTCTAGTTCTTTATTACATGAACTGAACTACTTTATTTAGTTGTTAGAGTGGATTGAGTTGGAGACACTTCATGAACTGGCAGACATTCTGATTGGTAGTTATGCTATTAGTCCCACTGGTAACACCATTTATTTGGTGAGCTCTGTTGAGAAAAAGTAATAAGTAGTTGAGGAATTACTTCAAATGCCTTTGCTATCTCTGGCTGCATTAATTTTGAGATGCCTCATTTAGGCTATAAAAAGAGGCAAAGTTAAAGTATATAATACAGACATTCTGTCACCTCAAATTGGACCTATTACAATTTAGCATTCTCTCAAGAAGGTGTTATAGCTCACTAAGCTGTACCACTTTTCCTTTGAATAGAACAAAATTTTACGTCGTTTGGTTCACAGGCATAATGAAAGTGGCATAAACTAGATTCTAAAGATGATAAGCCATCTCTAAGGAAAAAATGTAGCTTACATTTCACTTCCAATAAAATTTCAAATGCTAGAAAACTTTCAATCTATAAATTAAATGTGACTATTATTATTATTTAAAATAATGTGTTAAAAAGAAATGGATTTATGTAGGTGTGTGTGTATTTAAGTCTCAGTTTGTTTTTCTTTAAGTGGACACCAAATAAATCAAAAGGAATGGTATCCAAGAGATGGATTCAGTACTGAATCACAGAGCGGTCTGATCCGTAAACAGCTGTAGTAGCAGTTTCCTCACTGCCAATACTGACAGCCAAGAAGCTTGGAGAACTTCAAGGCAAAGAAGCCAGGACCTGACCTACCAGCTTATACAGAGACACTTTATTTCAGGCCTTGGCATCTGAGTGTAAGAGCTGCCAAACACATAAATCAGTACCCACAAGGCTAAAGGTACTTGTGGAGATTGGCAAGAAGCTTATGAAGTATCACATGCCAGCCCACCAATAGGATTGGACAAATAGCAATGCACCCACCATACAAGCACTTTCAAAATGCACCGGGACTCTCACATTTGACCAACATCATTTATAGTAGTCACATTCAAATTCACTGTTCTCCCCTCTGCCCCACTTCCAGCCACTGGTGTTTGGTTTCCACTGCTTCATGCAGGACAAGCCAAAGAGGGTACAGAGTTTACCCTGCAGAAACACATATTGGTTATTACTATATTAACAAAATAGCCAAATTAAAGCACATCTGGTTGTTATTTTGGTTATTTTTGGTATGAATCACTACATCATTGTTCTGGTTGCTTATGAAGCACTCTACCATTGTGATTTTAAAAAAATACATGAACAGGAAGGAACTGATTAAAATGCACCTGCCAATCAATTTAGGTAATACTAAAGAAAAACTAAGACATAGCCTCTGATCTTAAAAAAAGACAACAGTCCAATTGGGGAAGTATACAATAGTCTCAGAAAGGTTAAACAACAACAACATAAGATTAAGAACACCCAATTCTGCAAACAGAAGAAGAGTTGGAAGGCAGCAGACAACTAAACAGTAAAGAAATCATGGAAATATGATTACTTCGAGAGGTCAGAAGAGAGAAAAATTCCTTCCAGTGAATGGTGTGAGATTTGGGCTGGGTGTCCTAAGATACAGCTTTTGTGCAGGCGTGGAGAGGCAGCCAGGTATATGAGTGAAGAAAGACGTATGTGCAAAAAGGAAGAGGAGATGATTGGTTGAGTGCATGACTACCTTAATGGGAAGAAGGAGTTCATGCTAAGGGGGTACATCCCAGAAGGTACAATGTCCTTGATGATGCAATCGATGTTTTGAGATTTTTCTCTCTTGAAAGTGGAAGATTTCGCTTCAGATGAATAACATACAAGATAGTGTCATATAAGAATTCAGTGGCGGCTGGGCATGGTGGCTCACGCCTGTAATCCCAGAAGTTTGGGAGGCTGAAGGAGGCAGATCACCTGAGGTTGGGAGTTCAAGACCAGCCTGACCAACATGGAGAAACCCTGTCTCTACTAAAAATACAAAATTAGCCGGGCGCGGTGGCACATGCCAGTAATCCCAGCTACACAGGAGGATGAGGCAGGAGAATCGCTTGAACCCGGTAGGCAGAGGTTGCGGTGAGCCAAGATTGCGCCATTGCACTCCAGCCTGGGCAACAAGAATGAAACTCCATTTCAAAAAAAAAAGAAAAAAAAAAGAATTCAATGGCAAACGGGTGTGCAAATGGACTAGAAATGAAAAAGACTAATATCTAGGTAATCTTTCCCTTCCTCCTCTTTCCCTCCCTTACTCTGTCTTTTTTTTAAAGAAAACAGAAGCCTGGGCACGGTGGCTCATGCATGTAATCCCAGCACCTTGGGAGGCCGAGGCGGGCAGATCACCTGAGATCAGGAGTTCGAGACCAGCCTGGCCAACATGGTGAAATGCCATCTCTACCAAGAATACAAAACAATCAGCTGGGCATGGTGGCGCATGCCTGTAATCCCAGCTACTTGGGAGGCTGAGGCAGGAGAATCGCTTGAACTCGGGAGGCAGAGGTTTCAGTGAGCTGAGATCATGCCACTGCACTCCAGCCTGGGTGACAAGAGGGAAACTCTGTCCAAAAAAAAAATAAAAAAAGAAAACAAAACAAAAGCCATAATTTTGTATGTTAAGTCAAAGGAGCCAATGGAAAAGGAGCTCCTGAAAATGCTTGAGGGAAAAACTGAGTGACATAGAATAGGCATGACAGTGTTCCATGACACTTGGCAGTTACACAAACACAAGTGTTTTCCTAAAGCAAGAGCTTCCATGAACTTTGTACTGTGCTAAGAGTTTCTTTTTTGTTTTTCTTGAGTCAGGGTCTCCCTCTGTATGACTCCCCGGTCATAGAGGCTGGAGCGCACGTGGTGCAATCACGGCTCTGCAGCCTTGACCTCTTAGGCTCAAGCGATCCCTCTGCCTCAGCCTCCCGAGTAGCTGGGACTACAAGCGCCTGCCACCACGCCCCGTTAGTTATTTTATTTTTTGTAGAGATGAGGTGAGGCCTCCCTGTGTTGCCTAGGCTAGTCTCGAACACCTGGGCTCAAGTGGTCTGCCTGTCTCGGCCTCCGAAAGTGCTGGGATTACAAGCGTGAGCCACTGCGCCTGGCCTGTGCTAAGAGTTTCACTAGAGAGCCTCACCAAACAACAGCCTGTCACGCAGGTATTATTCTCACTTTGCCAACGAGAAACGCAAGCTTAGAGAGGTTATGTACCTAACCCAAGGTCACATACCATGGTTGAAACTCAAGTCCAGGCCTGAGGGACTACCATGCCACACTCTTAAACAACACCTTACTTTGTTTATTTTAAGAGCAAAGAAGCAGCTCTTTTAAAAAATGTTAAGTAGACATAAGCTAGAATGACAGAATGTGTGGCAAATATTATAGTTTCATATTTACCAAACAGTGGTGCTGTTTGCAGTTAAGGATTAGTTTAGAAGTCATAAACTAGTCTGGGCTATTTAAATGACCATCTAATTTATCAATACACAGCATATAATATACATATTAGTCTGCCTATGTGTTGTATAATAAAAAATTAATTATCTGGTCTTTGCCCTGCTTCCTGACACAGAGCTCCTAAAACCTTTGGTATTTTTTAAGTGACTGGAGTATCTTTTTTTATTCATAATAAACCTCCTTTGACCATGCCTTGGTTTATGTTAATGAGATGACATATGGCAGAACCCCCTAGAGAGTTTCAGGTTTTTAGCTCCTCACCAGAAACAGGGTTAGAAATTTCAGCCCCAACCTCCAACTTCTAGAAAGGGGAGAGAGGCCTGGAGAGTGAGCACAATCACCAGTGGCCAATGATTTGATCCCTCATGCCTATGGAATGAAACCTCAATAAAACTCCCTACAGGGCAGGGTTTGGAGAGCTGTCAGGTTGGTGAATACATCCATGTGCTGGGAGGATGGAGTGCCTGGAGAGGACATGGAAACTCAGGGTTCCCCCTGATACCTTACCCTATCCATTTCTTCCATCTGGCTGCCCGAGTTGCATCCTTTATCAAAAACTGGTAATCATAAGTGAAATGCCTTCCTAAGTTCTGCAAGGCGTTCTCACCAATTACTGAACTGGAGACAGGATCATGGGAATTTCCCAAGTTCTAGTTAGACAGACAAAAGTGTGGGTAGCTTGGGGATCCCATTTGGAGCTGGCATCTGAAGTGCTAGCAGTCTTGAGGGACAGAGCCCTTGAGCTGTGGCATCTGTGCTAACTGCATAGCTAGCATTAGAATTTAATTGAATTGTTGGACACGTTCTTGGCATCAGGGAATTGGAGAATACATTTCATGAGGCTATGGCTGCCATAGATAAATTCTGATGGATCTGAGCAAAATTAATTGAAAACCTTCTGAGAAGGATTCACCATTCTAGATGCCATTAAGAACATACATAATTCATGAGAAAAGATCAAAATATCAACATTAACTGGAGTTTGGAAGTTGGTTCCAACCCTCATGGATGACTCAAGAGTTCAGTGGAGGAAGTAACTGTAGATGTGGTAGAAATAGCAAGAGAACTAGAGTTAAAAGTGGGGCCTGAAGATGTGACCGAATGGCTACAATTTCAGACTCCCACACCACACTCTTAAACAATATCCTACTTTGTTTATTTTATGAGCAAAGAAGCAACTCTTTTAAAAAATGTTAACTTGGACAGATGAAGTCATTTCTTTTTTCTTTTTTAAAAATTTCAGCAGTTTTTGGGAAACAGGTGGTGTTTGGTTGCACGGAAAAGTTCCTTAATGGCGATTTCTGAGATTTTGGTGCACCTGTCACCTGAGCAGCGTACACTGTACCCAGTGTGTGGTCTTTTATCCCTTGTCACCCATCAACCTTCCCCCGAGTCCCCAAGTCTGTTATATCATTCTTATGCCTTTGCATCCTCATAGCTTAGCACCCAAGGAATGGTTTTTTTTTTTTTTCTTTTTTCTTTGAGACGGAGTTTCGCTCTTGTTGCCCAGGCTGGAGTGCAATGGTGCGATCTTGGCTCACCGCAACCTCCGCCGCCCAAGTTCAAGCGATTCTCCTGCCTCAGCCTCTGGCATGTGCCACCACGCCTGGCTAATTTTTGTATTTTCAGTAGAGACAGGGTTTCTCCATGTTGGTCAGGCTGGTCTCAACCTCCCGACCTCTGGTGATCTGCCTGCCTCGGCCTCCCAAAGTGCTGGGATTACAGGCGTGAGCCACCGCGCCCAGCCAGAATGGCTTCTTATGGATGAATTAAAGAAGCAGTTTGAGATGGAATGTACTCCTGGTGAAGCTGCTGTTTACATTGCTGAAATGACAACAAAGGATTTAGAAGATTACACAAACTTAGTGGATAAAGCTGTATCAGAGGATTGACTCCAATTTCAAAAGAAGTTCTATAGTGGGTAAAATGCTATCAAACAGCACTGCATGCTACAGAGAAATCTTTCATGAAAGGCAGTCTCCATGGACGCAGCAACCCTCACTGTTGTCTTATTTCGAGAAATTGCCACGGCCACTCCAACCTTCAGCAACCACCACACTGATGAGTCAGTCTTCAGAGGGTCATAATGTTTTTGCCAGTGGAGGGTCTTGCCTCCAGCAAAAAGAAATACGACTCGCTGAAACCTCAGATGATCATTAGCATTTTCTGACAATAATGTATTTTTATTAAAGTACACACACTGTTTAAGATACAATGTTATTGCACACTTCCTGTAGTATAGTTTAAACAACTTTTATATGCACTGGGAAACCAAAAATTTGTGTGGCTTGCCTTGTGATATTCACTTTATTGCAACGTTTACTTCATTGCAGTGGTCTAGAACTGAACCCACAATATCTCTGAGGTACACCACTATTTATTTTTTTGTAACTTTTCTGTTAGAGCTAATCTTTCTCCATCATTGTTATTACAAAATGTAGATGGATGAATGGCTATAAAATAGATTTAACCTATATTTAAATCTACCAATCTTGATACCCTCTTTTAAATAATCAAGACAAACTGAATTTACAAAATATGATTAGAGCAGTTTGCTTAAATTTGTAGTCCCTGATTGAATACAGATGTTATGCAAAATAGGCTGGGTCTGGAAATTACCCACAATTGCATCCTTATTATTTAGCTTTATTTTTGCTTTGGCAAAAAAGAAAGCAAGTGTCTTGACAGAGTTCCTGAGATAGTTGCAGAAATAAGAATAAACCTAGAGCCAAATAAAATAATTTCATACATGTAATCAACAACACACAAAGCACAGGCCTAAAAAACTGCCTATTACCAAGCAGTAAAATAGAAATGCCACAATTAAAAAAAAGAAATGATAAAATTAATATATTAATAGAATCAATTGATGTTTTCACTCTTTCATTCTTGCCCTGGGAATTTAAGAAACAAGGCAATACAATTTAATCATACAAAGGATTAACATTTCAATGTTTAAAAATAGTAATTAATGAATCAGAACATGTTCTTAGTTTCTACTGTTTTCTAAGCCAGGTAACAGACAGTAGTGTGGTATAAATGTATAAATCAGCATAGAAACTTCATGGAAGGGCTATGTAGTAACATGGTTAAGAGTCTAGACTCTAGACCAGACTGCCGGGGTTCAAATCCAGGTTCTGCACTTATTGATTATGTGGTTTACAGATGAGAAATCTAATCTTCTATGCCTCAGGTTTCCTATCTTCATAATGGGGATAGTTCAAAACAATGCCTGGAGCACAGTGTGTTCTATCCAAGTCTCAGCTTGATGATCTTGTCCTTACTTACTGGAGTCTCATGCTGCAGTGCTGACATGTGTCCCTGGCTGTTCCATGTCTTGTGCCTAACTTTCTCCTAAAGTAAGAACAATAGCTACTAGACTGTTTCTCTGGGTGCTGGCATTGACAGGCTAAATGCTAAGTGACTACGATGAAGACTTGAAATATTCTTCATTTGAAATAAACAGCTAACTCCCAAATTGTACCTAACTAGGGGAGTTTATCATGAAGAAATGTTTAAATGCTTAATTTTAAAATAAGAAGTAACCAGAGTGTTGCAACATGCTGTTAAATAACCCGACAAACTTCAATCACTATAGCTGTAGTAGAGTGCATTCTGCAAGGATCCCAGAGTAACCAGTATTTTGGAAATGCAATGTTGAACCGACCATACTAATTATCTGCTGATTAGGAAGTATGACCCAGTGGTTGCCAAGTGACTTTAGTTTCTTTTTAGTTTTGAGTCTGTGCATTTCAAAATTTGGTGTTGATTGTGTATCAGATGAGTGGCTGCTTCAGAAGTCAAAAGAGTTCTCTACTGTGTCTGGGGCTCTAATTTGTCAAGCTGTGTCCTAATTGTGGCTTGTGTTTACAAAGTGTCATCAATCTGAATGGGGAAAAACAGGACAGGCAGTTGGATTGATTTAGCGTATTCTGTACGCAGAGCAGTGTTAAAGAGCAGAGACCTTGAAATTCCCATCCTCTTACATATGTATCATCCGGCTACACACAGGCCTGCTCCCCTGCTGGAATCATTCCACACCACACAAAACAAATCATGGATGGATTACATTATGGCTTTTTCAGGTAATGACCAATATAAGGGTTGAAGGGCTTACATAAATACAGGCTTAAAAAAAGTATAAAATCCTGTCATTTGCAGCAACATGCATGGAACTGAGGTCATTATGTTCAGTGAAATAAGCTAAGCAAAGAAAGACAAACATCACATGTTCTCACTCATATGTGGGAGTTAAAAAGGTTGATCTCATGGAGGTCCACAGTAGAATGATGGTTACCAGAGGCTGGGAAGGGAGTGGGTAGAGGGGAGGATGAAGAGATGTTCATTAATGGGTACAAACAAACATAAACTAAATAGAATAAGTTCCAGCGTTTGATAGAGCACAGTAGGGTGACTAGAATAAAGAATAATTGTATATTTCAGAATAACTGAAACAAAAGATTTAGAATGTTCCTGACACCAAGAAATGATAAACGTTTGAGATGATGGATATCCTAAATACCCTGATTGGATCATTATGCCCTGTATGAATGTATCAAAATATCCCACGTACCCTATAAATATGTACAAGTATTATGCATGAATTAAAAAATTTTTAAAGCAATTTTCTATTTTACTAATGTGAATTGCTGTGAAATGCCAGTGTAGTCTCATGATGGCCTGTATAACCCCTTTCTACCTTGACCATGAATGACCCCAAGAGTATGCAATTTGGAAATATCTTTGCACAATATTAAATTCAAATTATGCCTTCCTGTTCTTCCTAGTACCTTTTATAAATCGTACCATCTTTGTGAACTTTAACATGACTGTAATGACTGGCAAACCGGACACAGTTCTAACACAAACGCTTCCTTAGAATGGGCTATCATGTTATATTTCCACAGGTACACATATGCTCCTGTCAAAACACCTCCAATGTCACAAGTCCACAGAACGCTGCTCAATGTACTTAAGACTCCCAAGAGCATTTTATAAACACAAATTGTGTTTATTTCTGATAAGAAATGCCTGACTTCTATCACCTCTGTTTATTAAGACTCTTTCCCTGGCCCTCAGCTATGTACAGAACAGACTCCCTTTAAATTAAAAGAAGGAAAAGAAGTCACAATCTCTGTTGCTTCTTTCAGAGCTTACCATCTGCAGTGGGTGGCCTATATCTTACTGTAATTCTTATGCATCGCTTTCTTTTCATTCTATCAACCATTGTATCAACTGTCTCTCTCATTATATCAACCCTAGTTCAAAAACCATCAAAGGGGTTCTCAATATGTATAAAATTAACCCTTAACTCCTTAACATGACATTAAAGACTCTCATGTTCTGTCCCTAACCCACTATTTCACATCACTTCTCTATAAACCTTTCTCTCCAGACTTGTATTTTTGTCGTCGTTTTCTCTCTGTGATCTGGCTTCTACTTCCATAACTCTAATACTGATTTTAATCCAGTGCGAACTTACTTCAGTAACGAGCCTTGCTGACCCCCCACTCCGCACACAACAGACCTGAAACCTGCACTTCTCTTGGCCTCCATGTCACTGTACTATCCCATCTCCTCCTCCACTCCAGCATCTCTGACATACTTCCTCATCTCCTTTTTTTTTTTTTTTTTGAGAAGGAGTCTCGCTCTGTTGCCCAGGCTGGAGTGCAGTGGCACGATCTAGGCTCACTGCAAGCTCCGCCTCCTGAGTTCAAGCCATTCTCCTGCCTCATCCTCCTGAGTAGCTGGAATTACAGACACCCCCCACCATGCCCGGCTAGTTTTTTGTTTTTGCATTTTTTGTAGAGACGGGGTTTCACCGTGTTAGCCAGGATGGTCTCAATCTCCTGACCTCGTGATCCACCCGCCTTGGCCTCCCAAAGTGCTGAGATTACAGGTGTGAGCCACTGCGCCCGGCCTCATCTCCTTCTTTAGCTCTTTCTTTACCTCCTCTACCCTGTCTGCACAGACATTCATGAAGGTACATCATGCTGGTGTCTCCCAAAGTTACATTTTCATAGTAGGGCTACTCCAGAGAAATTAGTCTTTTTTCCTCCCTTGGTTATCTTTATTTTCGTTCAATAAATGATGTAATTATCTAATTTTTTTTTTTTTTTAAGACAGGATCTTGCTTTGTCACCCAGGCTGGAGTACAGTGGCACAATCACAGCTCACTGAAGCCTCAGCCTCCCAGGCTCAAGTGATCCTCCCGCCTCAGACACCAAGTAGCTGGAACTACAGGTGGTGCCACCACACCATGCTAATTTTTGTATTTTTTGTAGAGACAGGGTCTCCCTATGTTATCCAGGCTGGTCTTGAACTTCTGGACTCAAGTGATCCGCTCACCTCCGTCTCCCAAAGTGCTGGGATTACAGGAATGGGCCACAAAGCCTCGCCCATTTTATTTTCTAATGAAATGTCTTTTTACCTCACTGCAGGTAGCCTTCTACCCAAAGTTACATCTTCAGCTTTAATCTTGCCCAATTTTAATTGTGCATTTCCAACTCCTTATTGGCTATGTTCACTTGGATATCCACTATTAATACAAACTCAACATATCTAAAACCAAACTTATATACCAAATCTCTGCCCATTTTTTTTTTTTTAGTAAAGTAAGTATTTTGCAAGATAGATTTCAGAGCCATGTAATCATTGTTGACTTCTCTCTCATTCTTTATAGTCAATAACACTTAGAGAGTCATGCTCTGAGGTATCTTCACTATCCCTTATTTTTGACTGCTATTGCAATCCCTCTAAAGGAGGTGGTTGGCATCTCGTGTATAGCACACTATTATCTGCTGGATGCCATGCATCCATCTCTGTTCCTGCCTATCCATTTGACACACTACTAATAGATGAGCCTTCTGGGCAGATAGCGGAAGGCAGCTCAGCATTCCTTCCAGCCCCCTGTCTTTTGACATCTTAAAGAAAAGAGCCTAGGAAGCTAAAACCTACATTTCCCAGAGGCCTTTGCAACTAAGCTTCTGTGTGCAAGCTAGCTTCCACCAAGCCAAAGCAAGACAGAGGTGAGCAGTGTTAGGGAGTTGCCCTGTGCAAAGAGGCTGGGTCTTCTGGCAAGCATGACAGCTGAGACGTAAGTCATTCTGGGGCAGCTGGGGAGAGATTCTGGCATCCAGCTCCAATTAGAGGTGCAACTGGTGAGCAGTGAGTGGCAGAGGTGTTTTGCTAGAAGCGTCCTCTGGCTGCTCTGCTGGCATAATGACATTTAACTCCCTTTCATCATAAATTGTTAACGTGGTGGATTCTATTATCAGCAACCAAGAACCCTAAAAACACTTCTCTAAACTCCTGCTTTCATTATCTCAACCCTAGTTCAATAACCATCAAGGGGGTTCTCAGTGTCTGCAGAATTAACCCTTAACTCCTTAACATGACATTAAAAACTCTCATGTTCTACCCCTAACCCACTGGTACTATTTCACATCACTTCTCTATAAACCTTTTCCCCTAGGCTTGTATTTGTTGTTGTTATAGGGCTTCAGCTTACACTATCCCACTCATCAGAAATGCCTTTCTCTGCCACTGACATATAAATCCTGCCTATCTTTCAAAGCACAGAACAAGGCCAGGTGTGGTGGCTCATGCCTGTAATTCCAACACTTTGGGAGGCCGAGGTGGGAGGATTGCTTGAGCCCAGGAGTTCAAGACCAGCCTGGGCAACATGGAAAAACCCCACCCCTACTATGCAAAAAATACGAAAAAAATAAAAATTACAAATACAAAAAAAAAAAAAAAAAATTAGCTGGGCATGGTGGCGTGCACCTGTAGTCCCAGTGACTTGGGAGGCTGAGGTGCGAGGAATGCTTGAGCCCAGGAGGTCAAGGCTGCAGTGAGCTCTGATCACACCGCTGCACTCTAGCTTGGGCGACGGAGTGAGGCCCTGTCTCAAAACAAACACAAACAAAAAAACAAAACAAAGCAAGAACAAGCCCCATCTCTGCCATGAAGCCCTCCTGGACCACCTCAGGCAGAAGTGATTTTTCTCTCTCACCTCCTCTAAACAGACTGGATACATGGTATTGTTAGAGTACATGTTTTTCACTTATAGCTTTGTTTTCTTGATCATTTCTTCTTTATATGATGGTAAGTTTTCTCTCTCTACTTTTCATTCTTGAAGAACCTAAATTGTAACATCTGTAACAACTATATATAGTTAATTTATGGAGCACCTGCTTTTTTGCCAGGGACTGTTCCAGATACTCTGCAAGTCTCTCCCTGAAACAACCATGTGACAACATTAAAAACAACCCATCTTATGAATGATGGAACAAGTTCTAAGATGTTATATAGCTTGTCCCAGGTCATGTAGTTAGTCAGAGAGGCAAATTTGTACTCAAACCTAGCCAAGCTGTATTCTCTCCAGGGTAAAATATAGTCCCTTTCACAAAACAGGTCCTCAATAGATACTTTATCCAATTATTGATTAAATAATCAGTAAATTAATTTTTCAAATGACAATTTCTTGAGTTCTTGCTCTGTGCCATGTTCTCTGCTAAGCACATTACAAACATTTCATTTAATCTTTACATGATGTAGATAGGTACGTTGCTTGTGGAAACCAAGCAAATAAACTGCAATTTAGAGAAACTAAGTAACTTGAAAGATCACAAAGCTGGTACATGGAAGTTTGGGGATTGGAACTCAAGCATTTGGCTCCACAGTATATGTAGTGGGCAGTGGAGCATCCACTTCTGTTCTCGAAGATACAATGATTTGACTTGGAGACTATTTAACAAAATGATTCATAGAAAATATTTTATTTTTAAACAAAAAAAAGTACGTAGTACATTTTTTTGTATTACAAGAGCCATCATGACTACTGTGACAACTTTAAAATTTCTAGTTTGCAGGAGGTAGAAATAACCAAATCTAAAAGGAAGTCAGGGAAAAGAGAGGGACAGGAAGGGTAAGAGGAACCTTGGGGACAATAATTGTAATAGACTGTATTTAATAAAAGTATTTTAGGTAATAAAAACACACTTTATTTAATAAAAATAACTACTGATGAAACCTCTCAGGGTTCTCTTATAATATAAAGTCTCATTGCTCAATAAGACACTTTTCTTTGATGACTTCTTTCCCTATTTGACTTACTTTTCATATGCAAAATTGTAGTTTGTTCATTATGTATTGGGTTTTGTTATATATTTTCCCTGGTAAAATTATCATTATGGAAAATTTGGCAAATGCAGACAATTATATTTCTTTTTGGAATTCACATAAGTTTATTTTAAATCCGTTTCAAAGCAACTGATCTGGAAGTTACAGTAGGGAATCTGAGGAGTTTGCTCTAGCTCAAGCCAAATGCATCATTCCTTTATAAGGATCTTTTTGTTCCTTTCTTGATAATATTTTTGTCATTCAGAAAATCAATGAAGATACAAAATGATGGCCTATAGAAAACAATAAATATACCTACCTCTCAAATGCATGTAGGCAGCTATAGTTTAAGACCAAACATTCAGTTCAACAATACAGGGTGGTTCATGGTGACTGCCAAGGGCTGTTCTGTAAAGGATGGGTCAGCCCTGGGCCTGTGGAACACCTTTGTGCTCGTATATCAAGCACACATCATGTTCCCTTTATCTATAAATGCCTGCTAATTTTTTTTTTTTATTTTTAAAGATTTTTGTTCCCTCCATTAAACTGCTTTTATCTCAGTTTTCATTTTTGTTTCAGAACATTTCAATTTTATACATTAAATTTCAAATTAAGTAAGTAGCTAGACAAACGGGACTCCTCTGCAATTAATTTTCTTATAAAGTATGAAACTTGCACCTACCCATTCTGCTAATTATGATACAAATAAAAATCATACTCTAGTGAAAAGTGAGGAGTTTTAATGCCTTTCTGGTCCACAGTATGGTAAGTCTCAGCAAATTCTGCTGAATTCATTCTAAAGAAAATTTCACACTTTGTGTACATTTCAAAATAGTTTGTTGCTATTTCTGAAAGCTATTCAGACTGCATTTTCTGCAAGTTGTAACAGTTTGAGTCATTAATAAAACTACTGAGAATGACTTTTTTTTCATTTTCCTTTGATGAGTTAAGGGCACAAATGATCTTGATAACATAGAACAGTTTCATAAATCATATTGCATAAATGGAAGGTTGGCAGACCTTTGTTTTTCCACAAATACTTTCGATTGTTGGTCCTGAAGTGAGGGTATGACTGCTGGACCATGGTGATACTCTACATCTCTGAAGTACTTTAGAGTCACAAAATACCTTCTCCATGTTATCTGGACTTCACAAAAGTCCTGCAGCAGGAACAGAGGCATTAATTGCTACATCTTCTTTCTGTAAATGAGCACCCTAAGGATTTTTGGGACTTGTTGGGTGTCACAGTAGCGCTAGTCAGAGAGAAATAAGCACCAATTCTACACATACTTCTTTTTTCACCACCCTGAGAGACCTGGGAGCCAGAAAACGTTCTGGACATCATCTAGTCTGTTCCCACCTAAGCCCTAACCTGACCCAGGGTAAGACCACGCAAAATTTACTCCAGCTCACAGAGTGAGATTCTTGCCACGCAGGGACTAATATCTTCTGTGTTCTTCCCAAGTGTAATGGAAATAAAAGTTTCCCAGTTAGGGCTAGGTTTGGACTCTAGTCCCAAATACACTATCTCTAATCTTTTTTTTTTTTTTTTTCTTTGAGACAGAGTCTCGCTCTGTCGCCCAGGCTGGAGTGCGGTGGTGCCATCTCCGCTCACTGCAAGCTCCGCCTCCCGGGTTCACGCCATTCTCCTGCCTCAGCCTCCCGAGTAGCTGGGACTACAGGCGTCCGCCACTACGCCCGGTTTATTTTTTGTATTTTTAGTAGAGACGGGGTTTCACCGTGTTAGCCAGGATGGTCTCGATCTCCTGACCTTGTGATCCGCCCACCTCGGCCTCCCAAAGTGCTGGGATTACAGGTGTGAGCCACCGTGCCTGGCCTCTAATTTTGTACAATTCTAGGTTCCTCATCTCTGAGGTGGAACTATTAATACCTACTTTGTGCAGTTGTAGGGATGAAAAACAGGTAAGGAATGTGGTGTGCCTGGTGCATAATCACCACTGAGTACACAATATTTTATTCCCTTTTCCAATTCGCTGTTCACATAACAGTACTTAGCTTTCAAATTTCAGGCCATAAATGAAAAACAATTCAGCAATTCATAGTAGCTTCCAAAAACAGGTTGCAAATGTCTATGTCTGACTTTTATAGCTAATCCTTAACTTACAAATGATGTTTGAATGGTCAAACTTTTCATTTTTTATTTTTATTAAAATATTAAACCAAATAGTAAAACTTATTATTCTTATAATAATTTAAGATTTTAAAATATAAGTCCAAATCTACATCAGTCTGCTTTGGCCAATATATTTGTTATAATTTTATTTTTGTGCTTCCTTTAAAAAAATTGTACTGTTTGGTGATTAGAATGCAAGTGATCCTTCTATTATCAAGTATTTTGTGAAGTGACTCCTGGTAACATGATTTTACAGCAATGAAAACCCAATACTTTCCAGGGTGATATTCAAAATAAAGTTATGCATATAATTTTATGTTGCATTCTATCTGCTGCATGCAGTGTTGCGCATGGTCCTGGGGGCTGACACTGCATAGAAAGCATTTTCTTAGAAAGCCACAGTGCATCATTTAGTACCAATTTCGCTAAGAAACCAAAGAACTCTCCAGCTAATACTAATGTTTCCCTCCTTACAGTCTAATGGGCAAGGAAGGAGCAGATACCCTTAGCTCCATGTTGCAGATGTAGGTACTGAGCCTGGTTGACTTGCACACAGGGCCAGCCCAGCAGAAAGGTGGGATTCAAGTTCAGGAGTAAGGGCTCTCAGCCTGGGCTTTCACTAAACCATGCTCTCTCTTCCATGAAAGTCTCCCCTGTTCCTTCAGACAATAAAAATAACACATTGCCTTGGATGAAAATTTTTCTAGTCTGATCTTGACATTTTTGAGAAAAAGGGGGAGTTGTCTCTTGAAAGACATGTTCTGCATTTCGAATTCACCAGAAATAAATTTTAAAAGAATTCATTTTTATTATTTCCCAGATCCTAAACAGCTCTCTTCACTTCGTGTTTAAGCTATGTGAAAATTAAATGGATACAAACAAAATATGATAGAAATTAAAGTATATGTAATTCATAATTTGTATAGGCAGAGTAAAAATCTTTACTAGAGTTTACTAATACAAGTGTATATTCATGTGCCTATTCATATGTAGTGAAAGCTACAATTTATTGCTACATTATTATCTAATGATGTATTTGAAATTAGAGCATTTTTATAAAAATAAGTGATTCTGCAGCAGAATTTCAATGCAATTTGTCACATTTCCTCTTTAAACTGTCATTCTTTTTTTTTCCTGCCACATGAGCTGTTTGTCATTTGAAATAAGCTGTCAGGTTAAAAAATATATATTGTCTTCTTTAGGGGGACATTTTGTGGCTGTTCTCCTAGGGTAAAACCTTAGAAATGTGACTTTTAGGCATGTGTGAATGGCAGTAGGATCCAGTCTCTATTTATTATACAGAACCTTATGCTCTGCATATCTAGGTAGTAACATTTCCTTAGCTTTATCCAACTGTACTTGCATTATTTTTTCCTGTAGTATGATTTGTTTGATTTGTTTGCTTGGTTGTTACTTTTTCAATTACATTACAGCAAATACCATTTATATAAATTACCCCCAAATTTCTTCTGAAATGGAAAAGGAATAAGGAAAGAAATACAATATTCAGTCCTATTGTCAGATCAAATGTCATGGCTATTGGTCTGGAATTATGAGCCTTGTGGACCAGAGAATACAATCATCAAAACAGGAATCTAGTTCATCGGCATCATGCTGTAGTACTCTCAAAAATGATTCCTCGCAACATGCTATTTGGTTGGCAGAATGTACTAAACATGGCAAAACCACTGACCTAAATCAGCTATTTTCAACTGCTTTTACCTCCATGTTTATAGACATGTAGTTCCTATGTTTATATACATAGTCATATAGACACAGGCCAAGAGACACAAACCCAGATTAATGAAGGTCACTCACCATGGCTATGGCACAGACAGTAGGTTGACATCTTCAGTAAATTAACTGCAACTCTACTCTCCTCTCATCCAACCCAACATACCAGTGAGTCCTAACCCACCAATGTATACTCACGTCTTAGAGGAAAGCTGCTAGTTCTAGAGGGAGATTTTTTACAATGAAATTGTGCACAGAATCTCAAAGTATAAAAAGGTCAATATTGATCTCTAGTTATAATAAATGTATTTTATAAATTAAAATCTTTTTTATGAAGCCAACATAAAAAAAGTTTGATAAATCCTAAAATCTTATTTTTTGTGGTATCGATGGCAGCATCCAATTTATCTTGCATTTTGTTTCAATTAGAGAGTGTAAAAGAATCAAGATTTACTGAAATTCACAGTTAAAAAGTAAGAGTCTTTAGCAGGCCATTTTGCAGTCTCAGAATCCTCTTCACTAGAATAATCTAGATTATCACAGGGTGGAAAAGTACTAAAATAATATAAATTATTACTAGTTAGAAGGGAATAAGGGAAGCTTCTGACTGCTCAAAACAGTCTATATCATGATCTGTATGAAGGTCGCATGGGTGTATACAAATGTAAAAATTCACTGAGCTGTACACTTAAGATCTGTAAACTGAACAATGTACGTGTCATGCCTTAATAATAACACAATTACCTAGAAGCATGAAAAAAGTAATAAAAGTTTTTGCTTCAAAGTTAATAAAAATTTCTAATGAAAGTTTATATTTTTTATCATTATAAACACTAAAAATTAGAACCAAAATGATTTGCTCTACATTACTGCGGCTGTACATGCAAAACATTCACTTATTATACAAGTGATTGCCAGGCTGTGGAGAGGGCACATGCTGAACACGTGTCTCACTCTGCCTGACGTTTAATTGAGTCTGGCACATGTGTGCTCTAGTAACGTACTCAACTGTGCAATTTTATGTGAGTGGACATCTGCAGACATGAATTTGAAAACAACTAGTACAAAGTGACAACCTTTCTACCCAATGGTATATAATAAAAAGAGCGATAACAGGAAGCTGCAGCAACTACCATCTCTTGAGGTTTTATTACATTACAGGCATTGTGCTAAGTTCTTGCATTCACCATCTCAAGGATCTCATTTATAGGAATTTTAAACACATCAGCAGAGATGGTCAGATGTGTGTGCGGTCTGCCCCCAAATAAGATAATCTGATAGAACAAATTGACACAGTTATAGGCTCCAAGTTTGTAAAAATATTAGTAGGAAACTCTTTTATATGTGATTTTGATATAACTGCAATTTTTAAAAAATTAAAATTCATTAAAATGATCCCCAAACACTTCTATAAGACCTAGACATCTATAGGTACCATTTTAAAAAGCACATTGAGGCTAATTTTCTGACACCAACTCTAATTCTCATTCTGAGAGTTTATAGTTGACAAAGTCCTTTGTTAGGCCACAATAAGAGTTAATAAGCTTGGAGCTATGAATGCATTTCCTGGATTAAGACTCCTTTCCAGTACAACTATTGTCTTCATGACTAGTATTTCTCACATGTAAATTTCTTGATACTTTTTATTGTGCCTCTTATAAATCCTATTATATTAAATCTTCTTTAATAGTTTGATTACTGAAACTCTAAATTCCAAACTCTTATTTAAATTGAAATAACTGATTATTAAAGAACCAACAGATACATGTGAATCTAACTGTGCTAAATCACAACATCCATACTCTCCTACTTAAGGTGAATCTGTCATTTCAGACACAGTCACGGTGCGTCATGATAGTGAAAACACAAACCACATGACCAAATGACAAAGGACAACTGGTGGTCCCAAGAAGTTATATTTACACAGGAGGGCTCAGGTTTTTCAAGTATGTTGATAAATCGCTAACTCATTCCATCACAGATTGAATAGGACCTAAGACATAATTTAGTCCAAACTCCTTGTTTTCTGGTTGCAGGAAAAAAAAATCCACAAAGGTGAGGCAACACTTCCAGGTCCACTACTTGGCAGTGAGGGGGTTATCAGCTCCTCAAGCCACCTTTGAAAATCTGCTTCTTCAACACATACTGGGATAGCCTTTTTAAAAAGGTGACAGGCCGGGTGTGATGGCTCATGCCTGTAATCCCGGCACTTTGGGAGGCCGAGGCAGGCGGATCATCTGAGGTCGGGAGTTCGAGACCAGCCTGGCCAACATGGCGAAACCCTGTCTCTATTAAAAATACAAAAATTAGCCAGGCGTGATGGTATGCGCTTGTAGTCTTAGCTACTCAGGAGGCTGAGGTATGAGAATCGCTTGAACCCAGGAGGCAGAGGTTGCAGTGAGCAAGATTGCGCCACTGCACTCCAGCCTGGGCGACAGAGCAAGACCCTGTCTCAAAAGATACAAATAAAATAATAAGGTTACGAATACATAATTATACATACCTGTGGGTATAGTTTAGTACAGAAAACATTTAACTTTTCTATGTGGAATCCTGACTTTATATATATTACAGTTGAAACACAGTTCAACCCTGCCTGTTATCTGACAATATTCAATATATTTAAAGGATGACTTTGAAAGTAGCCTTAAGTTCCCCTTCTCCTGATGAAGTAATTTCAAAAACTTAACCCTTCCCAGCTGTCAGTGTGTCATTCTGATCTTTTCACCATCTTCAATTACCCTATATTCTTTCTTTAAAGAATATTTTCCAGAGTGCAAAGATCATGAAGGGATGTTTAAATTAACCTGTCCCTATGCAAGGTTCAACTTCTTTGTAAATAGCCCACAAAATAAAGAAGCCATTACATTAACAAATGGATCAGATTGCTTATGTTCTCTGTGCTCTGCACCACATGGGATATCTGACCCTAGTCTTAAAATGAAACAAGGAGTACAGACGCGTCTTTGTGCTCCTGTCTCCTAGATAGAGCCAGGTTATTACTGTTCCACTCTATCTCTTTATGACTGGTTTCAAAATCAACAAAGTCTGGATTTTACAAGCATGAGATTTGCTAAAAAGAAAGTTTTCATGATTTTTTCTGCACAGAATTGGGACGACATATGAGACAATCTTGAATCTTATTTTTCCCCATGATAAAGATGGCTCTGCCTGATCCACGCAGACCTTCCACACTGACTGCTGATTTTTGGCATGTATTGAATGCTCAATAAATGTAAGCTTCTCCCATGAAAGAGAGCAGAAATTACTGTAATGCACAAAAAAATTTAAATTCACTGGAAATTCTCTTTGAATACAAACACCCTAGGTATAATGGACACCAAAGGAAATGCCTCTTGTCATGTTAAGGATGATATTCTCTACCTGTCTCCTCCACAAACCTAGCTTGGTATCTTACATATGGCAAATGTTCAATACACACTGAATAAATGAAATATGAGAATGAAGTATGAGAATTTCCTTCTGGTGTCAGTGATGCCATTTTATAGAACAATGCAAACGCATTCACTGGAAGTTACATGGTAGGAATCTGGATAAATCAGTAATGTTTATCTGCAATTTTGATTTTATGATCCTAGTTTTATGCAATATAAACAATTAACTAAATAATACCTGGGCACTTTACAAGTACAGAAATCTGAAAAGCACTTAAGAAACTCTTGTTTTTCCAAATGATAAGAGACGGAAGGTTAGAGAGCTATAAAATATGGAGACAGGACTGTTACAAAAGAAAAGCTCCTTGTTTTCTACTCGGGACAAACCAAGACTCAACATAAACTTTGGGTTTACAATTTACAAGTATTTATTCATAAATATTTTTAGAATCTAACAGATCAGATGAAGGAAGGAGAACTTTTAAAGTTCATATGGATAAGAAGATAAAGATGATGTACCTAGAATAAATAGTAAACAGAGAGGAGGAGATAAAAATAACTCTGGCATATACTGGGCTTTTAATAAGTATATTTTGAATGGGTCAAACTTCATAAATTGATGCCTACATCAATCTATCCAGATAATTATCAGATAAGCAAGCTTATTTTACAGACATACACAAAAACATGTTGTAATTAGGGAGTCTTCTCAAACGCAATTATTGGAGGAACTGTCTAAAATTTTCTCTTCATTCCAATCGATCTCTAGTGTACAGAAATGACCTTCACTCCTCTGACTGTCATTCTTATTTTTCTCATCTCCCTTACACATTTCTACATTTGCCTCCCCATGAATCTTAGGTTCCTACTCCGTTAGCACTGACAATTCCTTCCTATTAACCTGCTATATATCCTGGCTTGTTTGTCCTTTTCATAACTAAACTAGATCTGTACTATCTCTAGTTCACTTTTTTTCCCTCAACTAACTAAACAGGCTTCTCACATTTTATTCTTCTGGAACCTCAGAAAGATGGAACCCATTTTCGTGGTGCTTCTCTAAGCTTTCTCCCTCTCTCCCTGTCTGTCTCTTTCTCCCTGCCCCTGTGCTGTGTGTGTGTGTGTGTGTGTGTGTGTGTGTGTGTGTGTGTTATTAAATCTTCTTCCTTCATCTGTCTCCTTACTGCAGGCCTTCCTCCCAAACTGGGTCCTTGATATCTGTTCCTGTGAATTGAACAAATCTTATAGAAAACTCTTTGGTAGTTTATTCTAAAGATAAACACGCATCTACCTTTGAGCTAGCAATCCCCTTCTTCAGTATTTACCTAAGAGAAATAAAAACATATGTCCACAGAAAAGTTGCACACACAGACCTTCATCTAGCCTTATAATAGTCTCAAACTAAAAACAATCCAAATGTCCATCAAGAAGTGAATAGGTAAATTATGTTATACCCACACAATGGAATACTATTTAGCAATGCAACAACATGCAAGAATCTCAAAAACATTATGCAATGAAAGAAGGCTGAAAAAAAAGAACACGATTCCATACATGAAGATCTAGAACTAACTGGTGGTAAAAGGCATCAGAAAGTGGCTGTCTAGGGGTTTGGAGGAAGCAGTGCATTTATTGGACAGGGACACAAGGCCTTTCTGGGTGATGGAAATGTTCAGATCTTACATGAGAGTATACAATTGTTAAATTCTTTGAACTGCACCTTTAAAATAAGTGTTTTATTGTATGTAAAAAATACCTCAAAAAATAAAAATAAAATAACCTCAGGGATCGTCCTTCTGCCACTGACTTCCTGTCTATATTTCCCATCCTTCCTGATCAGTTCCAGTTCTAGATCTCCAAATACCAACAGAAGAGCTCCACTTGGATGTTTCATTATTGTATCAAACTCCTTCACTCACCTCTCTTAGCTACATTATTCAGTTCAAAGGCATAGCCATTCCTTCTTTCTTCATCTTATTCTTTAGAGTTTAGTTATCACCAAAACTATCAATTCTTCCTTTAAATACAAATCATAAATCTTTTCCCTTCAAGACAGAATGCAGTAAAGAGCAATCTTAACATGTAGGGGAGGCCGGGTGCAGTGGCTCACGCCTATAATCCCAGCATTTTGGGAGGCTGAGACAGGAGAATCACTTGAGGCCACGATTTCGAGACCAGCCTGGACAACACAGCAAAACCCCATTTCTACAAAAATTTAAAAAATTGCCTGGGCATGGTGACATGCACCTGTAATTCTAGCTACTAGTGAGGCTCAGGCAGGATGATCCCTTGAGCCCAGGAGTTTGAGGCTTTAATGAGCTATGATCATGCCACTGCACTCCAGCCTGGGCAAGAGAGCAAGATCCTGTCTCAAAAAAAAAAAAAAAAAAAAAAAAGCATTACATTTTTTAATCCTAAACTTAGAGTTATTGTTATCGTTACTTGCTCAAAACCCGCCACTAGAGGCCTGGTCCAGGCCCAGAGTCAATCACATCTGAACTACTTCAATAACTTCCGACACATTCTTCTTCCTGATTGTTTTTTGGCGTTTAACCAATTTATTACTCATTTTCATGACTAATAATTTACCATATAATCCCTTTAAACCATTATATTGATTTCTAATATGCAGCAAGATGTATGAAACCCCAAATTTGTTTCAAAGCAGAAGCCAACCAGAAAGCGTGGGTAAAAATGTGGGGCTAAAACAACCAATGCTACATCTCTTACCAAAGAAATTATTTTTGAGCTGACAGAAACGAGCAATGGGGAAAAGACACCCTATTCAATGAATGGTGCTGGGAAAACTGGCCAGCCATATGTAGAAGAGTGAAGCTTGACCCCTTCCTTACACCATATACAAAAATTAACTGAAGATGGATTAAAGACTTAAATGTAAAGCCCCAAACTATAAAAACCTTGAAAGACAACCTAGGCAATACCAACCTGGACATAGGAATAAGCAAAGATTTAATGACAAAGACACCAAAAGCAATTGCAACAAAAGCAAAAATTGACAAGTGGGATTTAATTAAACCTAAGAGCTTCTGCACAGCAAAAGACCATCGATGGAGTAAAAAAACAACCTACAGAATGGGAGAAAATATTTGCAAACTATACATCTGACGAAAGTCTAATATCCAACATCTATAAGGAACTTAAATTTACAAGAGAAAACCAAACAATCCCATTAAAATGTGGGCAAAGGACATGAACAGACACTTCTCAAAAGAATAGATAATGTCACCAGCAAACATATTGAAAAAAAGTTCAATATCACTGATCATTAGAGAAATGGAAATCAAAACCACAATGAGGAGCATCTCCCACCAGTCAGAATGGCAATCATTAAAAAGTCAAAAAACAGATGCTGGTGAGTTTGCAGAGAAAAGGAACGTTTTTTGCACTGTTGGTAGGAGTGTAAAATGGCTCAACCATTGTGGAAAGCAGTGTGGCCATTCCTCAAAGAGTTAAAAGCAGAACTACCATTGGATCCAGTAATCCCATTACTGGGTGTATACCGAAAGGAATATAAATCATTCTACCATAAAGACACCTGCATGTGAATGTTCACTGTAGCACTATTCACAATAGCAAAGACATGGACTCAACCTAAATGTCCATCAGTGACAGACTGGATAAAGAAAACGTGGCACATATACCCCATGGAATACTATGCAGCCATAAAAAGAGCAAGATCCCGTCTTTTGCAGCACATGGATGGAGTTGGAGGTCATTATTCCCAGCAAACTAATATGGAAACAGAATACCAAATAATGCATCTTCTCACTTACATGTGGGAGCAAAATGAAGAGAACTTACGAACACAAAGAAGGAAGCAGACACTGGGGTCTACCTGAAGGTGATGAAAGGGAGGAGGGAGAAGAGCAAAAAAGATAACTATTGGGTACTGGGCTTAATTCCTGGGTGATGAAATAATCTGCACAACGAACCACCATGGCATGAGTTTACCTATGTAACAAACCTTCACATGTACCCTGGAACCTAAAATAAAAAGAAATGAAAAAATATATATATATTTTTAAAAATCAGACTAATTTTTGTATGTAAAAGGATTACATATAATATTTTAATTCAATAACTGTGGGCTTTCACAAACAATTTCCAATTTTACTGGCTACTCTCTCATTATAAAATCTTCACTGGTTTGCTGACTTAACTTGGATAATAAGTCTCATAAAACATTTAGTGAAAAATTAATATTTTCACCCTACAATGTAATGTACCCAATAAAAGATGACAGAAGGATATTTTAACCTTTTGATTAAAGAAGTCATTTGTTTTTCCCAATCAATTTTCTGATTTGCATTTTCCTATTATATATTAGAAAAAGTGTCTCTTACTGTGCAATTTAAAATTAGTTTTATATTTGCCTCAGAAAATGGGTACTTCAACTACAAGATCAATTTCATCTTCTGTGTCACTTGTAATAGTGCTTACATATACAAAACACAATAGAGAATGGATGCAGAATTGAAGACCGCAACACTTTCTGCTGAAAGGTCATGAAATTTTAGCTCAAAGATTTTATTTCCAATTATTTAGATAATAGTTTCAATTTTATATTTTATTTGTGTTTTGTCACTATCGTAGCCCATAGCTATGTAATTCCAGAAATCAGGGGGAAAGACACAATAGCTGATTATATTTTTTGTCATTTTCTACAAAATGAGAGGTTAATCAATGTTAATTTGAGTTTATAGACTGAATATAACTATGTTTCACAGATTTTGTTTATTCTCCTAGAATAAGCCTTTTGTCAAGCTCTGTATTTCAGAAACACTACTCTATTATACTTGGCAAAACAAAACGGCATTCCTGAGAGTGAAACCCTAGTAATAAGGATTTACATTATGAAATTAAGACAAAACAAATGTAGCTGTTACGGATTTTAAAAGTTAGGTCACTACATGAGTCTAGTGGGAAGAAGTTATGAGAACCACCAGAATCATCTAGAAATTTTTATAAGAGAACATGACTAAAATTAGCTAAAACTTACGAATTAGATTAGAAAAACAGATACATCCATTCATTTGAATTGCTTCTATAAGCAACAGTGTTTCTTTTCTAAAATATTAATACAGTAATCATCACTCTCCTAAAGCTCTCCTTCTGCTAGGAGGAAAATATTTCCTCACCCTACTGATGTTGGGCTTAGTCATGTGATTTCATTCACATTAATTAAGATGCAGAATTTTATCTAGAAATATTACATGACTTAGTCTAACATTAAAAATTAGGTTGACAAAATAATCATTTTACCTAAGAATATCTAGTTACTTTTAAATTAGAGTTAAAGCATTAAAATAATGCATCCAGTTTTCTGTATTACATTTGTTTTTCCATAAGTACAGATAAAATAATATTAATGATATATCAGATAGTTTTAAAACTAAACACTGGCAGGATTCTATTTTATTATATAAGTAAAAGTTTAGAATTCCTTTCTCCACACCAGTAATTTTGCAGAAAACTAATCAGGAATATTCTGAAAATATGTTGGCACTCTTATTTCTATTAACTGCATATGGTTTGGGATTCAACTTTTAGAATAAGCCACGATGCATGATGCATTAGATTTTAACCAGCTGACGACCCTTGGCTATGTGATTGTAAAGGAGATGGCAAAATATCATTGAAGATGGCCATGTAAAACATCAATGAGATAAGATTCACTCTTACCCAAGATTTTTCTATCTATATCAGATTTTTCTATACAGCAGCAGGCTATTCCTGAGAATGTGTCCTTCACTTTTTTACTTTCATTTGATGCGGGTAAGTAAATGTATTCAATGAGTTTCAAGTGTGTGAAGAAAGTGATATAAAGTAAGGGAAAATTATGGCACAATGGCTGTAACTCCTGGAAAGTAATGAAAAGACAGAATGTCTCGAGCATTTGACTGGAAATAGAAGAGACTGCATCCTGGTGAACTGAGTTAATTTCAAATATATTACTCTATGGTTTTCTATCATGTGTACTCTCACTGGCTATATTAATAAATGAAATAGTGATGAATGGTTCTGGGAACTTGTAGTGAAACTTATTAATATTTCAACATTATCACCGAGTATCTATGTCAACACACATCAAAAATGCATGAGAAATGACTACCTACACTCACTAGTTACACCCATTAGAAAAATATCTATGAGAAGTATAAATGACACACATAAATTTGCAATGTGATTATAGGTAGAACATACAGCAAGAAAAAAGCTACAGGAAGATATCACGTGGTGAAGTATGTGAAACAAATGAAAGCAAATTAATTCTTGCAATCGGTTTGGAATACACTGTATGACCACATTAAATACCATTAGATTTGAAATTATGAGTTCTTAGAAATTACTAACACTAAAAAAATTTCAACATAATTTAAAAGTAGGAAAAATAAATAGCCACTATCAAACTGTAAGTGGCTCATCAGTTCTATCCATGGTGTAATTTTGGAATCCCCTACTTAAAAAACAAAAGTAAAAACAAAACCTTTAGTTTTCAAAAGTTTGTTCTACTTTTTAAATTGATGACCAAGAGGTAATAAATTCACATTAGAATGAGGCATGGCCGTTTAAACAATAAATCAACACTTAACCCAATAGTTTCCAAGTTGTTAGGTAGGCTTAAAAAAAAAAGTCTGTTTATACCTATATCAGAAGACATTCGATTTAGTTGGGGGGTGTCTGTCAAATTGATTGTTTAGCATTATGCGTAGAGTATAAAATGTCAACCATAGAAATGGAGACAGAAATCACTTTCAAAATAGCAACATCTGTGTAGTAGCTTTCATACACATCTTTTAATGATCAAGAAGATTCATGCACAAAAAATTATCAGGATAAATTGTCACTTGGAACTAAAGTTGCATCAATTTTTAGGGAAAAAAGTACTTAATGGCTGCTAGAAGATATTAGTCATATATTAAAACTTTCCAGTGTAATAGTTATTTTTGACTCATCAGGAGATATTTATTTAATACATTACTGAAGAGAAAAATAAGATGTTCTTCAAAAAATCACCTTTTAGTTTTAATTTTTATTATCTTATTTTTATAATTTCAATCTTTATTTCAGATTTAGGGGCAACAATGTGCAGATTTGTTACCTGGGTATACTGTGTGATGCTGAGGTTTGGGGTACAATTGATCCCATCGTCACCCAAGTACTAAGCATAGTACCCAAGAGTTAATTTTCCAACCCTTGCCCTCCCTCCCCCTCTAGTAGTTCCCAGTGTCTACTGTTGCCATCTTTATGTCCATGAGTACCCACTATGTAGCACCCACTTATAAGTGAGAACATGTGGTATTTGGTTTTCTGTTCCTGGGTTAATTGGCTTAGGATAATGGCCTCCAGCTGCATCCACGTTGCTGCAGCAGACACAATTTCATTCTTTTTTATGGCTCCATAATATTCCATGGGATATACAGGTATGTACCAGGATAAAACTCACTTTGAAAGAATAAACTGATTCAAACACAAATTGGTATGATAACCAATAGTAACATGTACACTAATATGGACATTTTATCATTTTTGGTAAACAATTAAACAGAACAAATACCTATATATGTATATAACTAGATTTCAAGAACCTATGCCTAAAAGAAGTACAAAGCAGACAAAGGTTTTGAAAGAAAAATTTGCTCTGCATGGTTTTTTGTTTGTTTGTTTTTGGTTAGACAAGTATTTACAGATTCCCTTAGAAAAACAGAATTTTTATAACAGCAAGAGAAAGCATGAGTAGATAAAGAGATTCAGTTCTGACTTCTCCCTAGGGATTTGATGCTAGACTATTCAGTTGGCCTCTATGAAGTTCAGTTTCTTCTGTAAGTTTTAAGGAATTATAATGAATCTTCTTCAGTTGGTCAGTGAAATTGTTCATTTACTCTTTGCGAGAAGCCCCTGCCTCAGGGCCTCTGCACTTGTTATTCCTTCTGCCTGGAATGCTCTTCCTTTAGCTGTCCATGTGGTTTGACCTCCTACCCTTTCAAGTCTCCTAAAATGTAATCTTACCAGAGTTCTTCCCCAAACACCTCACATGAAATAGTAAACCCTGCCTACCACCTTCCACACTGCCCAGTCCCCACATCCTTCTTGCTTCACCACCACAGCACTTACCTTCTCCAGGGACAGAAGAATCATATGCTTATTATAGAATCATATGCTTATTGTCTCTCTCCTCCCACCCCCTCCACTAGAATATTAAGCACCACGAGATCAGTGATTTTTGTCTATTTTATCCAATGCTTTTCTAGTGTTTAAAACCAGTGTCTGATGGATACAGTGCTAGCTCTGGAGACACAAAGAAGGCTAGGACATGTTATCTGTCCTCTGAGCAGCACAACATACTGCAGAGTCACACACACACACACACACACACACACACACACACACACACACACTTTGTACCATAAATTCCTGTGCCCAATTGTGGAGGTTGTGGACACCTAAGTAACACTAGTCATATCCATGATGATGTAAATGGCACACTTTGGGGTGTACAGTCCTCAATCTGTATAACCATACCCAGTTTCCTTAAGACGAATATCTGTAGGACATGAAGTTGATCATACCATTTCCACTTAAAACCCACTGGTGGGTTGGGTTCATATTGTCTAAAGAATAAACTCATCCTTCCTGATCCAATCCTGACCTACCTCTCCAAGCAGCTGCATCTCCCATCTCACCTCCTCACTCACTTGTGCACCAGTCATTATGACCTTATACACTCTTCCACATGCCAATGCTCTTACCTGTTCCACTCGGAGTTACATGTCATCCTCTCTGTTCTCATGGTAGCACTTAATGTTTTTATCCCATTAGACTTTAGTTCATCCCATAAAGTTTGACTCTGAGCTCCTCAGGGTCAGAACTATGAGTCATTCATTCTGTATCTCCAGCATGTAACAAGGAGTTGAATAAATGAATTAATCACTCTTTGAAAGAATATATGACTTAATGTTGGCAATTCATGAAACAATTCAAGTATTAAATAATCAGCCAAACTTCATTATACTTTTTTTTTTAATTGAAGAGGGACCATCACTGTCCCACCACAGCAGATAAAAAGGAATATGTATGGGCATATGGTCTCCATCTGGCTCCTAAATACCCACAGACTGAGTTACTAAGGGATCACTATTTTTAATTTTTTGAAGCTTAGAAGGCTGGTGGGCTGATAATGGCAAAGCATATACTTTAGGTTTTATCTACAGTCATTCACAGTCAATCAAAGCTTTTTCTGACCTCCTTCAAAAAAGAGCAATCTAACAGCATTTATCTCCCCTGGCAAGAATGAATGGCTCCCTGATTTGCCCATCAGCAGCACCACAACAGGCATGATATTTAGTCACTAACAGAGAGCTGACTTCCACCTAAATATCTGAGTCAAAGAATATTTCTTTGGTAGTCTCTGAAGTGAGGATTTAAAGGTGTCCCAAACCTACTAGTCTTGTTAAATAAAAACGAAGCATCTTTTAATGTGCCAGGATTATGGGAAGCATCTAAGAGCAAAATTGAAATAATTTAACACTGAAATTAGAAACCAAATACATGAGCTTTCTTGGGCTTTTTCTCAGAACACAATCAATGCAGCTGACTTAATTCTTGTCAGCAGAGAAGAGACATGGCCCAAACATTCTCAAGTTTTTCCATCAAAGGGTGCAAAATAAGTTGACTCAGTGCCCTTTTAACTCTCAGACAACTTTTTCCCAAGATTTTCTTTGAATATTAGTAATAGTAAAGTTTATCCAAAAACACTCTACTATTTTACATCTTATTTATTTACATTTCAATGTAATGTTGAGATTAACAGCTGAATTTTTTTTATGTATCAGAGAATGTATTTAATATAATTATTTCTCCCTAAACCAAATTATATTAAAATAACAATGGATTTGAAGATTAGAAGTTTTAAAATTAATGCTGGATGTGGTGGCTCATGCCTACAATCCCAACATTTTGGGACACCGAGGCAGGGGGGTCACTTGAGCCCAGGAGTTCAACATCAGCCTGAGCAATATGGCAAAATTCTGTCTACTAAATATACAAAAATTAGCTGGCCTCACGGCACACACTTGTAGTCTCAGCTACTTGAAGTCTAAGGTGGGAGAAATGCTTGAGCCCAAGAGGTTGCAGTGATCTGAGATCATGCCACTGCACTCTAACCTGGGCAACAGAGGCACTGTCAGAAGGAAGGGAGGGAGGGAGGGAGGGAGGGAGGGAGGGAGGGAGGGAGGAAGGAAGGAAGGAAGGAAGGAAGGAAGGAAGGAAGGAAGGAAGGAAGGAAGGAAGGAAGGGGAAAAGATTGCAATTGTTTCACACAAGTTTTATGCGTATTGGAGTCCAAAGCTAAAAAATTCTGCTAATTTAATATAGCTGAGGCATAAAGTTTTTTTTCTTCTTTTTGAGATGGAGTCTTGCTCTGTCGCTCAGGCTGGAGTGCAGGGGCACGATCTTGGCTCACTGCAACCTCCACCTCCTGGGTTCAAGTGATTCTTGTGCCTTGGCCTCCCAGGCAGCCGGGATTACAGGTGCCCACCACCAAGCCCAACTAATTTTCATATTTTTGTAGAGATGAGGTTTCACCAGAGGAAGGCTGGTCTTCAACTACTGATCTCAAGTGATACACTGCCTCGGCCTCTCAAAATGTTGGGATTACAGGTGTCACCCACTGTGCCCTGCCAGTTTTTTTTTTCTTTCTTTTTTTTTTTTTGAGATAAAGTCTCACTCTTGTTGCCCAGGCTGGAGTGCATGATGTTGGCTCACTGAAACCTCCGCCTCCCGGGTCCAAGCAATTCTGCCTCAGCCCCCTGAGTTGCTGGGATTACAGGCACCTGCCACCACGCTCGGCTAATTTTTCTATATTTAGTAGAGATGGGATTTCACCACGTTGGCCAGGCTGGTTTCAAACTCCTGACCTCAGATCCACCCGCCTCGGCCTCCCAAAGTGCTGGGAATACAGGCGTGAGCCACCGTGCCCAACTTTTCTTCTTTTTTTGAGGAGAGGTCCCACTATGTTGCATAGGCTGGTCTTGAACTCCTGGGCTCAATTGATTCTCCTGTCTCAGCCTCGAGTAGCTGGAAATACAGGTGTGCACCACAGCACCCAGCTGCTTTAGAGATTTTAAAGCCACAACATGAAAACAGAGGAAGGGAGCTTCCCCTTCATAAAGGAATGTAGGTTTGCAGTCAGACAACCTTGGGATTGAATATGAACTTGCAAAAAAACAAACAAAAAAAAAAAAAAAGAAAGAAAAGAAAACTTCTGAGACCTCTGGGGAGAGAATAAACCTCTCCAGGCCTCCGCTTCTTTATCTGTAGGATACAGACAGTATCATGGGGCAAATTAAATGAAAATTACATGAGTTTTCATAGAATCTGCCAAAAAGTTGCCTCTTAGTAACAGTTCTTGTTTTCCCTTTATTACTCATCTCTTCTACTATTCTCTAGTGTGATTTAAAAGACCTTAACACCATCATACATGAGGAGATTAACAAAAACAGGAGGGGTGCAAGGAGTTTAAAACAAGAAAAATAAATAACAAAAAAAAACCCTTAGATTCTAACTTTCTTTGACTGTTAAATACAGTTTTCTAAATTAAGAATTATGGCCGGGCACGGTGGCTCACACCTGTAAATCCCAACGCTTTGGAAGGCCGAGGTGGGTGGATCACCTGAGGCCAGGAGTTCGAGACTAGCCTGGCCAACATGGTAAAACCCCGTCTCTACTAAAAATACAAAAATTAGCTGGGCGTGGTGGCTTATGCTTGTTAATCCCAGCTACTTAGGATGCTGAGGCAGGAGAATCGCTTGAACCCAGGAGGTGGAGGTTGCAGTGAGCCGAGATCGTGCCATTGCACTACAGCCTGGGTGACAAGAGTGAAATTCCATCTAAAAAAAAAAAAAATCATAACATTCAAAATAGCAATAAGAGAAGTCTGAGGAAGCAATAGGGTATCTAACTTGCTACCATATCTGCTCTTTTAAAGAGCATTTATGTAAAAAAGTACCAAAGATAAGACTATACATTTCCAGAAATTCACTAGTTGTTTTTCTTTAAGACGATGAGCACTTCATATAAGCCATATAATAATAAAAACAGGCAGAGAACGACAGTGAAGTGCTTTAATTAGCTTAAATGTAATTGACAATGAACCATTTAAAAAGAATATCCTTTTCATAGGTGCAGTTATCAGGGATGCTAACATCCCTGATTACTAACACTATCAACTGAGCATTATAATCAAAATCAGAGAGAGTAGACTACTACTAAGCTATGGAGTAAGTTAAACAGTAACATGTAATTCATTAGTTCTGAAAGGACTAATTCTGGAAAACAAGCATATCTCCTTAGCATCTTGTATCTTTTCCTCCACCTTTCACCCCACTCTTCCTCTCTTCAGTTTTACTGAATTATATCCACATCCTTTAGCTTGTTCCTAGTAAAACAGAAATTCCTCCAGGGAGTGCTCCCTTTCAGATGTTATTAGGTCGAGTTTGGTGGAACTTGATTCTTCTACTTGCATTAATAAATGAGCATTATGAATGTTTGGAATGAGAAAGAAGGAAAGGGGGTGCAAAAATTAGAGGCTTTAGATAACAAAGCTAAACTTCACCTATTGAAAAGACATCATTATTTTGTCTAGGATTAGAGTTAATTATAATCATTTGCTCTTATCATGTGCCTTTACCTCTCTTTCTCCAAACACTTATTTCATAACTATGTTTGTCAAGTTGTTAAGGGTAATGACCCTGTTTTATCATCAAGGGGGTGGGGGATCAAGACCAAAACAAAACAGATGTTCTAAAAACTGCAGGAAATTGTCTTTGTCAGAATCACTGAATACGTGATTTTTGACTTGGACAGTATCTATTACAATTGAAATAGAAAAAACGCAGAGCCCGACTGTGGGTCTCTTGGTGGCTGCTTCTTCCAATTTATCTAAATTTACTGATCCTGAGTGGATAAATGAGAGTCAAGTTAATTAATGAAAATGGTTGAAACGATCAGTTCAAGCACACAGTTTAGTAGACTCATTACATAAATCTATGTAAACAGAGGTCGATTCAGATTGCTGTTGTAGCCACTAAGCAGCGGTCTTTTTAATTTGAATGCAGGCATATTTGAATATTTGCAGTGGTGGGTGGGGTGGGTAGATGTATCTTGGTTAACAATTTCTGCATATGAAATCAAAAGGAACATTTTTTAAAGTTCATTTTAAAAACCAGCAAAATACATAGCACCAGACATTTAGGACAAATAATTTACTAGCTCAGGAATGTTCACGCTATATAAATATACTAATGTCAACAAAGTAAGGCACCAAATTAAAAATCCAAACTTGAACAGTTATTGCATGAGGCAAGACTATGAGCAAGAATGGGGAAGGAGACAAGAAGAGCTTCAGTTAGAGATATTTACCTGTGGTTTAGCATCTTGTCAGAGGCCTACAGCAGAAAGGCTGGCCCAGGGCAAGGCAATTTCACCCTCTCTGGTGTCAGTCTTCCTTCATATCCCTTTCCTTTCTCATTTTCCCCCTTCCCTTCCCTGACACTCTACTGGTGGCCAAGGAAATAAGAGGCAAATGTCTGAATCCTTTTTAGACCATGGCTCCTTTGATCTTTAATTGTAAAGACAAATGTGAATTAGTTGACCAGGGTTTCTAAAATGTGTTGCCTGTAATATATAGAAAACTTCTGATTTTATCACCTCCCTACCTGCAGCCATCCTTCTCAACCTAACTCTCTTAGAAAAGTTCTTCAAGTACAGGAAACAGAGAGATCCACAGAGGTCCTTTGAAATGTTTTCATTTTTTTACATGCTAATCTGACATTTTATCCTTTTGTTATTTAATACATTAAGTTTATTGATCATATTACAATGAAATGTTTGGGGTTTTTTTTGTTGTTGACAGCCTTTAAGTTTACAGAAGTCATCAAGATACGGAAAGACAAACAGAAAAAGAAGAAAGAGAAATTAATGGTGAAATAGTCATATCCATTAATTAATAAAGGATAAACTAACAGAAAAGCAGAAAGAGAAGTTCGCAATTGTGCACACTGAAAGTTAACTTTGACTAAACCTATGTACAGAATTTTTAAAATTTTTATATTTAATAAAATTTTAAGATTTATTGACTTCTCTCACCACTTCTGTCATTTGATCTATGTATAGAATTTTAAAAATTCTATAACAATTATATACTTATTTCAGAATAAAATTTTAATATATTACTATTAGTTTTCAAAGATCTATATATCTACATTTAAGAGGTCTCTGCAGAACATTCTTTTTGTTTCATTGCACACTTCCCAGTGTTTACACATGCACATTCAGTCTTGAATGATGACTCATTAACTATTGATGGGTCCTGGCATTCTAGGGCTTCCCAGTTGTTAGCTCAGTGTATTCTTAACTAAATCGTTTAATGAAAACACTGACATGTAATGAATCTGGCATCTCCCATGATACACATGCAACTTTTGTAATAATAATAAAGACAGGCATTTGCACTATTACATAAAATCCTGTGACTTGAAAAGGTGTAGGCTGGGCGCGGTGGCTCACACCTGTACTCTCAGCACTTTGGGAGGCCAAGGCAGGCGGATCACTTAAGGTGAGGAGTTCGAGACCAACTGGCCAACATGGTGAAACTCTGTCTCTACAAAAAATACAAAAATTAGCTGGGCATGGTGGCAGGCACCTTTAATCCTAGCTACTAGGGAGGCTGAGGCAGGAGAATCACTTGAACCTGGGAAGCAGAGGTTGTAGTGATCTGAGATGGTGCCACTGCACTCCAGCATGGGTGACAGAGCGAGACGCCATCTCAAAAAAAAAAGCAAATCAGAAAGGTTATGTTGAAAATTAAGCTCCAGTTCCTGAGGTTTCTATTAAACAGTTACACATTAAAATATACTAATACATAATATGCACGTATTAAAAGCACAAAAATAGTTATGTTTAAGAAGTCAATATAATTATTTGCTATACAAGCCCCAAATGGAGTAAGCATACTTTTTTTATTTTACTTTATTTTATTTTATTTATTTGTTTATTTAGGCCAGGATGCTCTTGATCTCCTGACCTTTTGATCCACCCACCTCAGCCTCCCAAAGTGCTGGGATTACAGGTGTGAGCCACCACGCCCGGCTGTAAGCATACTTTAGATTTTAGTCACTACAGTTCCAAACTTTAAAGTTTAATTTAAAAGAAATGCATATATTTATAAAGACACACACACACACACACAAATTAAATACACATTAGAATGATGCAGGAAAACAATGTGATTAAAATGTCTATGGAATGTATTCATCTCAGAATTGAAACTTATCATCATTTAGTCTAAATATACAGATGAGAACACAGACTCCTCAATTTTAGGATTTAGCTCACACAAAATCAGAATCACTGTGCTGACCGTGGTGAGTCAGGGATTAGGAAGATCTCAGCAATCTCTTGGATTCAGTGTCTATGCTGGCTCAAGTTAACATTTGCTTTGGAGAAACTAAGTTAGAGATACACAAGTAAGAGATAAACAATGTTTATTTTTTTAATTTTTCTTTCTTTTTTTTTTTTTTTTTTTTTTTTTAGGAGTCTCACTCTGTTGCCCAGGCTGGAGTACAGTGATGTGATCTCAGCTCACTGCAACCTCTCCCTACTGGGTTCAAGTGATTCTCCTGCCTCAGCCTCCCGAGTAACTGGGATTACAGGCACCCACCACCACGCCCAGCTAATTTTTGTATTTTTAGTAGAGATGGGGTTTCACTATGTTGGCCAGGCTGGCCTTGAACTCCTGACATCATGATCAGCCCACCTTGGTCTCCCAAAGTGCTAGGATTACAGGCGTGCAAACAATGTTTTTATAAGTGCTCAAGCAGGATAATACTACTGATAACAGATTTATAGGCTAGAAAAAGATGTTTTTGGAGCTCAAAGTTCTAAACTTTGTCTTGTTACCATTTATTATGTGACTGGAAAAGTCATCAACCTCTGATCCTCAGTATCTTCATTTATAAAATCAGAATAATGACTCTTGCTGTATTTATATTTCCTCGTGGTTATAAACTTAAACTACTGCACTAGTACTATTACTATTAGTACTATTATTACTAATTACTACTATAATACTAATTCCACCAATAATTGAAGCTTTCTATATGCCAAAACTTTGTGACTTACTTTTCACACCTCGTAGCTGTATCAAAACCTTCTCAATAGTCCTGTCAGATAACTATTCTGATTTTCTTCTCACCTCAGAGTGATTAAATAACTTGCCAGAAGTCACACGGCTATTAAGAGCTTGCATGGAAATTTGTATCCAGATCTGACTCCACACTTCATTTTAGATCAATTATATCTTGTTTTCTCTGATGTATTATATGTATATTCATATACAATATCAACATATAATACAAATTATCTCTATAACATAGATATATTATTCATTTTATATACGCACAGACATACACTTATGCTGTGAATTCTGAAATGCAATACCAAGGCTCTCTTTTCTTTGTTTTTTAATTTCAAAGCCTAATGAATAAAACAAAGTAGGTATTTAATCAACATTTGGGGAAAATAAATGGATATAACAGAGGTAAAGGTAACTAAGATAATTTTGAGTGAACTGTTCATTAACAAGTATGTCAGCAATAACAGTGGCTATTTAAACCCTCCTCATCTTCAAGATTATGTTACTAAAAATTACTCTAGAAGACACATATTGTATGACACTACTTATATGTGGAAGATTTTTTAAAAAGTTGAATTCATAGGAACAGAGAGGAATGGTGGCTGCCAGAGGCTGGGGTGTCAGAGAAAAGAGGAGATACTGGTCAAAGGGTACAAATTTGCAGATAGAAGAAGAAGAAATTCTTAGGACCTAATATACAGCATGGTGACTACAGTTAATAATACTGTACTGTATACCTGAAATTTTCTAGGAGTGTAGAACTTATGCATTCTCACAAAAAAAAAAACTATGTAAGGTGAGGAATGTATTAATTAACTTAATTGTGGTAAACATTTCACTATGTACATGTATGTTAAATCAGCACATATACTTTAAGTATATAAAGTTTAATGTGTCAATTAGACCTCAATAAAGCTGAAAAAATTATTCTACAAAAAAAAACATGGATTTTTTTTTTCAATCATTTAGGTTCAATTCTAGGTACAAGGTTGACTGATAGAAAAGCAGCTATTTTCAATAAACGAGGGCTGAAATCTAACCCTGCGGTCCAGGTAAAAGGACAGAGAAAAGATTCATTTAAAAATAACATATGAGTACTACTTTTCAAAGGATGAACATATTATTTTCCAAATTTAAATCTTCCAAAAAGCTATTCTGTAATTTCCTATCAAAACAAGATAACAATACTTTGCCATATTTCCCTTGACTTTGTGTAATAATAATGATGATGATAATCAAATAGTGACATTCAAAAATAACAATTTTTTTTTTTTTGCAGAGTTCAGGAGAAGGGTGCAGGAGGTATTAGAAAAGATGCACATAGGTCTTATATCTCATCAAAGCATGAATTTCCAACTCATTAAAACACTCCATTCTCTGCCCTAATCTCCCAAAGAGCATTCAGCTGAATGAAAAGCTGCTGACATTCGTGCCAGTTCACAGCTAGAATGACATGGCTGGGGGACAGGAGATGCTGCAGTTTCCATTATCCATTGAACACCTTGGCAATTCTTAATTCATCCTGTGAATGTGATACTTACTCTTGTACTGCTCTGGCTATGGAAAGGGCCGTAGATCCAGTTTCATTAACGCTATCTAAGGTCACATTTGGCAGGTCATCATCATCACTGTCACTTTTACTTTGTCTGGGAGATAGGCCTCGGGGGTCCATTTGTGCTGGAGAGAAAAGGCATATATAATGAATTAAAATCAGTGCGCAGAAAGTTAACCTTGTCCTGGACCAACATCAAGTATGGAACTTCTGTGCATATCATGCAAATGGAATTCTCTAGACATCACAGGAATCAGTGAAAGCTCCAGGTTTTATGTTCTGAGTACTTACTGATTCTTTTTCCCTTCATTGGAGTTACAAAACCTAAACCAGCTCTCAAGAATTTCAGGGTATGGTTATAGAATAGAAACTACGAAATCCACAATATTACCAACTCCTGAGTGGTCAAAAGCTGATAACGTAGCTCCTGAGCTACTGTTCAACCCTCTGGTTTCTCCTCCTCCTTGCTTCTGCTGCCAGAGCTCTGGCCATTTCACTGCTCATTAGCACTCTCCCTGGAAGGTAGAGAGCATGCGGAAAGGAGATATTAGTTGCTTATAGCTCTCATAATAAGTTAAAAGAACAGGGCTTGCGTGACTAAAAGAAAGTATACGTATTTTTCTTACTTCAGTGAATCACTGTTTCCAAGTTCATTACTACTATAAGGTGGGATTTGAAGGCATAAAAATGGCAGAAGTGGTAGCATTTTAGAAATCTTGTTTATATGTGCTAACAGTGCTCTTGAACTCTATCCTGTTTTACTTTTCCAGATATGATTCTTCTCCAATCGTGAATTTGCCAAAGCAGGAAACGGCACAATGTTCTGACCCCTGTTGACCAAGACTATCAGATCTTTCAAATGAGAGGGTTACTTACTGTCAACATATGTTAACACATATTTTTAAAAATTACATTTCATTTCCATCTCCTTCTCCCTGTGAAGAGATTTAGCAACCACTGCCCAGAATTTCTATCAGCCCTCGCTTCACGCACAAACTAGGCATATCTTTTCAATGAAAAGTACCACATGAGCTACACACCCACACTGTTAAATTGTATGGCTGCCTAAGATTTCTAAAACCACCACTGCTTGCGGGGGAAGGCAAAATGCAGGTGAAATCATGGTCATAATGACATTTGGGTACATTTCATAATTTCATTTTTTTGGTCTCAAATCACTTTTTTTGGTTACTGTGTATCATACATTACACCGAACCACATGGAATTGCTGAGAATGTACCATTTTTACCCACGAAATGGCAACTTCGGATGATTGTGTCTAATATTTACAGTCTGGCTAGAAAAACTATACCTAGACGGTTTCAACATATTTCATCACGTTTCTAACTACACTTGGTTAGGAAAGAATTTACATCTAGTGAACCTCGTGTGCACCCGTGTATTTGATACACATCCTGACTTTAAATATAAATATACCAAAACGTGCTTTGCACAATGGAAGTGTTTGGTAAATACTAAATTTAAAAGAAGATAATTCAAATAATATAAAGTAATGGTCCTCAACCAAGGGCAAATTTGCCTCCCAAGAGACACCTGGCAACATCCAGAGACATTACTGATTGTCACAACTTGGGGCGGGGGATAGGGAGGGTGCTACTGGCATCTAGTGGGCAGACGCTAAGGATATTGTAGACATTCCACCATGCACAGGACAGTCAGCCTCTCACAGCAAAGACTGAACCAGTCCAAAATGGCAGAAGTACCCAGGTTGAGGAACTGATCTAGGGATTTAAGAGTCTGGACATAAAAACGTGTCACAGTTTATGACTTTCAGTTCCTATGCAACTATGCTCTCATTTCAACATGGCTAACAAGGAAATTGTCACATACCAGATTATCCATATTTTCTGGCCTTGTCTTAAAAAAAAAAAAATCACTGTCATGTGACTCTGTACCTCCTCAAATGTTAGGAATTAGGCAATAATATTCATTAAGAGCTTTTGAATATTTTCTTTGTACCACCAGCTATGAGACAAAAAGACTGTTTGTTTTCCATCTGATCTCTGGAGGAGATCCACTAGAAGAGGGATGTTGGAGAAACTGTAGGGCAAAGCAACCAGTTCCATCACTATCTGGTAACAGACAGCTTAACTACCCAGTCACTCGAAGGGCACTTGAAGGAACCATTATCATTTAAGATTTATTTTCGCTGTAGGCAACAGAAATTGGCTCAGGCTAACTTATATTAAAAGGGATGTACTGGAAAGATAATGGGCAGCTCACAGAATGGAAGGTCAAGATGAACAACCAACACTAAAGGAACGTAGGATCCAGGAATGACTTTGTGTAATAATATGAATTCAGCTAGGAACTCATAGATAGCTTCTTTTGGGGCAATCCTGTTCTAGAATGATTCATTTAACAGCCATTCACAACTATTCAAAGCCAGCCAAGAAAATGAATATCAGATCTATCTAAGCTTCCAAATCACATATTGTATGGTGTTGCATACACCTGTAAATGTCAAAAATTTAACATTTAAAGTTGTTGAAACATCATGCACTACGATGCCTTTGCCAAGATACCAAATTTGCAAACAGCCAAGAAAAAAGAAAATATTCTGATAGTACCATTTTGTCCAAGACAACTAGAGCTCTTATAGTAAGTAATACAACTCAAGGAAGATAGAGGCAGTTAACCATGAGCAATCTGGCTCTGAAAGTTAAAGTCTAATTGTATGAAAGATTCCAAAACCTTGTGTGAGAGTTGTTACATGATCATCTAATTATGTTATGTTTGTATCTTAATGAAAGTTTAAAATATGTTAAATATGATATCTTTTTGATGTACTTTTCAGGAGCATAATTGAGGATTTCTTTCCAATATTTTCAATAAATATTATGAAATACATCTGCTACCATCATGCTGGGAAAATCTTTTTACCCATACCTTCAGCCAAGCTGAGGAAGTAATTAGAAAGGCTTTTCAAAATCTGCATTGCTGATTAGGTCAGATGATTAGCTTATCTGCATACTTGCATAATTCCACTCTATTTTTATTAAATGTAGAATAGGGACATCAACCCTAGTTAACCTCCATCAGTCTTTGAGCATCTCAGCCCATTTAGGAAGGACTGATTCTCTGGCATGCCCATTTAAAGACCAAAGAAAGTTATCTGGACACCAGAAACAAAAAAATATCAGCCTCTGTAAGTAAGAGAACAGGAGATGATCTATAAACACCTGAAAAAAATTTACACTTAAGATTTTATTGCTCTTTAATGAAAAAGGGATCAGACAGTTTTGGGTAACCCAGCTCACTGCTGGTAGAGGTGTCATTCCTCGGAGTTGGAGGTGTTCTGGAATCCTACGTGAGTTTCATTCCATGTGTCAAAATCCTGGGGAGAAAATTTCAGAACCCAACACCTGAAGTTGAACTGATATACTCTGATTTTCAAATACTCTCCTATGGTAGATTGTTACTATAACGATCCCTCCAATAAATCATGTCTGTCTGTATCCATGCCCTGATGTGGCCACTTCTCAACAATGACTCTGGGCTTGGCTCTAAGACTTGAAGTGACCAATGGGACATTAGCAAATGTGACACAAGTAGAGGCTTGAAAAGCACTTGCACCTTGGGTTTCCCCTTTTCCCTTGCTCTTTTTAGAACCTAGTCAACTTGTGAAGAAGCCCGGGAGAGCCTATAGGAGACATGCTGCTCAGCAGGCGGCCAATCCCACTGTGAGCCATGTCAGTGAGCCATTTTAGACTCACCAGCTACATTACAGTCACCAGATGACTACACCATGAGTGACCCCAGGTGAGACCTGCTTGAAAACCTCTTGGCTAAACCCATGCCACATTTCTGACTCACAGAATTTGAGCAAATAAAATACCTGCTGTTTTAGGCTGGGTGCAGTGGCTCACACCACTGTAATCCCAGCACCTTAGGAGGCTGAGGCAGGAGGACTGCTTGAGCCCAGGAGTTTGAGACCAGCCCAGACAACGTAGTGAGACCCAACCTCTACAAGAAATTTAAAACATCAGCAGAGTGTGGTGGCATATGCCTGTAGTCCCAGCTAGTTGGGAGGCTGAGGTGGGAGGATCACTTGAGCCCAGGAGGTTGAGGCTGCAGTGAGCTACGATCACACCACTGCACTCCAGGCCTGAGCAACAGAGTGAGATCCTGTTTCAAAAAAAAAAGAAAAGAAAAAAAAGAAAAACAAAAAAAAAAAAGAAAGAAAAAGACAAGACTTGCTATTTTATTCCACTAAATTTTAGGGTTAGTTGTAGGGCAGCAATAAAAAGTTAGTGCACCAGGTTATTCTCCCAGCTCCTTCTAGAGATTTCCTAGCAATGATGGAGATGAACTACAACTACAATTACAGTCAGCCTACAACAATATTAAATTGAATTAAGTTTGGCCTAAAGCTGCCTCTATACATGTTTTAAGTTTGGCCTAAAGTTTCTTCTGTACATAGTGAACTGTAACCTAACTTGACGTGGAAACAGACCGTAACCTCCTCTTGCAACAAGTAGCTGAGTTTCGGTCAATCAAAGATGGCCAACTGTTGAAACCAGATTCAATTAAGGCATATGCTGCATTTTAACCAACGGAGCTGTCTCTGTACCTCACTTCCATTTTCTGCATGTCACCTCCTTTTCTTTGGCTATAAATATAATCTGCATATGCCGTAGGGTGAAGCATTCTGAACATTTTTGGTCTAGACTGTTGTCTGATTCTGGAATCAAATTAAAGCCAATTAAGATGTGCAAAATTAGATTTGTTTACTTTTAACAACATTCTTCTTTATTCTCCTCCCAAGAACCAACCTTGTTTTAGTGACATAAAAGCTACCTACTGCATTCTGCATCATTTACTTTTCAATTCAAAATATTCAAATGTATTTACAGGTGTTTTGGCTTTTGCAGTATCTTCTTTGATCCTTCAGTATTGTGCAGCTAAGGTTCTTCTTGGGCCCTAAGGGGCCATTTAGTTATGATGAACAACACTTATTTATTTTTATTTATTTATTTTCAGATGGAGTCTTACTCTGTCACCTAGGCTGGAGCGCAATGGCGCGATCTCGGCTCACTGCAACCTCCGCCTCCCAGATTTAAGTAATTCTCCTGCCTTGGCCTCCCAAGTAGCTGGGATTACAGGCGACAGCCACTGCGCCGGCCGAACACTTTTTCAGCTCTTCTCCTCAGCTGAGACTTGATAGGATGCTCATATGGGTGGGTTCTCACTGGTGTATGGTCACCCAAAGGTATATTTCATGTTTTTTCTCTTCAGCTCACATGAGACATTTAAACTTTGCTTGTTTCCTCCCCTCATGTAATAGTAGACTGACACAGATGCAGGGGACACTAATTCATTCTCACCTCCCCTCACCCCAGCCTGCCTGCTGTCTAAAGACCAAACACTCTTCTAACTTCTGTTGAAGTAAACTTGCCTATGCACCCACTCTTAAGGAAAAGGACATTCTTCTATTTCTATAGGTTGCAATATTAAATGTGTACGACACAACAATCTAAGAACATATATGAAAACTTACAGACTAACATTTCCTAACAGGAATGAATCCCAGAAGCAGATACTGAATCCCTTCACCTCCACGCGCCAGGGCTGGAGAGGAGAGGGCCATACACAGATGGAAGGTGTGAAGTGGCTGCCCAGGCAGGCGCCACAGGGCTGATGGACCTCTTTTCTCCCTCTTTTAGCTACGGACAGGCTCCCTGCTATCTGCAGGTGCCCTAATTGTTCGCCCTGCCAAGGCTGAAACATGTCCCAGTTAGAGAAACCCCGGCTTCCAGGAGAGCTGCTGGTTTATTCTAGAAAGGAGGGCAGAGGGGGAGTGCAGGAACAAAGGGAAAAATGAATGTTTGGGGAGGAATGTTTGGGAAAATTCATAGTATCAGTAGGTAGAAGAATCCTCCTCCAACACATTCTATGCAGAAATTGTTCCAGAAAAGGAGGGTCAGGAAGCTTCTTTAGGATAAAAACATGGCTCTGGCTTCAGGGAACATGGGATGACTTCTGGCCCTGTCATTTGCAACATCTGACCTTGGGCAATGATTTTGCACCGGGAATCTTCAGTTTCTTCTCCTGCTACTGCTGCTCTAAGGAGTAAAGAAGATAATACATGCAAAGCACTTAGTCCTGGCCTGGCTCTTAGTAGTCAATCATCATTCCATTTTACCCTGACAGTAAATTTACTGCTTCTTCACTCATTCCCTTCTATAACACTCCTTCTAAATCTCTCACCATCTCCTGGACTATTCAAATTAGGCAGTTTTCTTTTCACGTGTACCTAAACTGAAAATACCATTACAGAGGCAGAACACATATTGGATAATATATAAAACTACTACTTATTTACATCATTTATGTATTTAGTCAACAGATATTTATTGAACACCTACGAGGTAGCAAGCAGTCTTCTGGCTGGAGAAAGAAGAGTGAAAAAGAGTGAACAGATTAAAATTCCTGCTCTCATGCTGCAGAGATACAGATCATTAACAAAAAAGAAAAATATATACTACGTCAGATAGTAAGTGCCATATAGAAAAATGAAGCAGGGAAAGCAGATGGGGTTGCATAGTGGCAGTGGACAATTTTTGAGATGGTGGCCAGGAAAGGCCACATGGAGAAGAAGATACTTCAGCAAGGACTTGAAGGAATTGAGTAAGAGAAGCTTGCAGGTGAGGGTTTTTGGGTTTTGTTTGTAGGGTGAGGGGCATTCCAGGCAGAGAAGATAACAGGTGCACAGGTGATAAAGTAGGAATGTGTTTCATGTGCCTGAGGACCTGCAAGGAAGCTGTGGCTGGAACCAATACAGGGAACTGGATGAGGACAGAGAGAGGAGGCAGAGGAGGGCATGCAGAGTACAGAGGGCCTTGGAGGGTGACATAGGCTTTTGAATTTTGCTCTGGGTGAGAAGGGAAGCCATTGGAGGGTACTGAGCAGAAGGATGACATGATACAAAATTTTATCATTTGATAAGGATCCCTCTGGCTATCTCTGCCTGGAGCATAGTGGGGGATTCAGCTGGAGCCACACACACAGGAATCATCTATGACATTAACATTCCCTAAAAACAACACTAGCTTTTTTTCTCCTTGGTCACCTCCTGCTGGCTGCACACAGAATCAGTTAAAACTCAGGACTTGGTTACATCAAGGTCTATGTGGCACGTCCTTCCTAATATATTTGTACAAGTGATATTCTGACTTCATTTGGTTTCAGAATATCAGTTGTTCAAACAGACTATTTTCCTAGCACATCAAGACAGATAGTGAGAGAAACATTCATGAGTAAATAAAGCTTGACTCAAAGGACGGTGAACTCCAAGATTAGAAATAGCTCTCCAGGGTCCTGTTTTGTTTACTAATGTTTCGACAATGCCTTGTTTCTTGTTTCCTTTACTTTTGCTAATGCTAATGCCTCTACAGAGCAGCAACTGTGATGGCCATAACCCCAGATGACTATTTAAAAGTTCAATCAGTTATGTAAATCTTGGGATGTTGGTACTGTGTAGATATAATATGCAATTTACTCATTTTTCCCCCAATTTTTGTCTGTTCACTTGACAGTGTAATGGCTTCTGCTACCATTATATTAAAAAATAACCTCATAATGTTCTTATAATTCCCTAGTGCAAGGTCCACTTCTCAGTTGTAATGCTGTTGGACCTCTCTACAGTTTTCAAGACTGTTGGTTATTCCTTTTCACTTTCATTTCTGGCTTCTTCTTAAAACTTTCTTCTCCCTTGGCCTCGGGGATAGGCAAATTAAGCCCTGTGGGCCCTGCCACCTGTCTCTGTAATTAAAGTTTTATTCAGCCATGGTCATTTACTTCATATCTGGCATCTTTAGTGCTACAAAACAGGATTGAGTCGTTGTCACAGAAACTGTAGGTCTGGTTATAAAATACTATCTGGCTTTAGAAAAAGTATTTGCTGACTGAAATACATTATTCTCTTGGGCCTTTGTCTCTCTCTGGTTATCTATCCTTCTAACTTCTTCATCTCCTTTCTGTATACCCCTAAGTGTTAGTTGCTGCCCTAGGTTTCGCTACCTATTCTTTTCTGTCTGCCTCTTTATTGGTGAGCTTCTCAGCAATTCCAAAGAATTCCATAATTTCCCCAATTTCAATTGCTATCTCAGAAGGGATGAATACCAAATCAACATTCTCAGCTCTGACCTCTCCCCTAAACACCAGTCTCATTTCCAGCATCCTACTGACTAGTATTCCTCAAAAATCATTTCAAACACAAGTCCTATTCTTTCTCCTGGTTTCTGAGTTTCAGCTGAGAGATCCTTTTCCCAGTGACCCACGTTCCAAACTTTGATTCATTTCATTTGTGCCCCTCATTAAATCGGATGCTAAGTGCTCTTGCTTTTACCCAATGATTATTTTCTTTTCCCACTGCTTTTCATCGACTTCCTTGAAGTCCTATTGTACAAATTGTCCCATGGAGCATTTCTCTGGTAACTGAATGTATGCAGGGCTTTCCTTAAGACATTCCTTACTTAGAAATCCTTGACTTTTTCCCACTGTCTACCGAATATGGTTCAGCAGCCCTCCGCATCCTACAACTCATTTTCCACTGGGAGCAATGATGAGTCTTATCCCCGAAGCCCCTGAATCCAGCTTTATCTAGCCATTTCCTTCCATTTCACAATTCTGCCACCACAATCTACCCTTCCTACAGAATAATACCTTCATGACCCTTCTTTTCCTTCTCTAACTACATGCATCTCTCCTTTTTAAAGAATACCTATACTTTGTATTTATATATTTTCATGGCATTTTTGCACTTTCCATTTTGAATTATAGTTAGGCATACACTTATTTTGTTTCTCCAATTATGCTGTTTACTCCTTGAGAGGGGAGACCACGTCAATTATACTCCCTTGTACACAGTAAAATGTAAAGTTTAATGCAGATCTCTACTGAAAATGATCACAGTAATTCCCAGCTGATGAGAGATTCTGCAATATAATGATGCAAGTGTCTAGCTCACATTTCATTTAAAAAATTACATTCTGACTTACATTCTAATATTAACATTTGTGAGAGAAAAGTCACAATCATTAAATTTCTATTATTCTCTGAAGTCTTAGATTATATTTTTGGTTTGGGATGACATGGGAATGAAAACGTTCATAATTTTTATTCACTTTTCAGCTAAATTCCATTTAATGGGCTTTCCTTTCAGGAAATCATTTTAAACACTACCAAATACCTCTCATTTCTATCACATGAATTACCGCTTGGAAACTAAAATGAAGGAATTTCATCCTTCATCCTAGTTTAGGCTGGGTGTGGTGGCTCATGCCTGTAATTCCACCACTTTGGGAGGCCCAGGCTAGAGGATCATTTGAGCCTAGGAATTCAAGACCAGACTGGATTACTAAGTGAGACTCCATCTCTATTAAAAAATAATAATAAAATATAACTTAAAAATTCATGTTTTTTTGAAGTCACAACAGCTACTAGAGTTTCATTTTTCTAAAGAATCATGACTAAGACTACTTTTCTTGTTTATAAAAAGAAAATGAATAGAGATTTACAATTGTCTTGTTTCCTGAAAGTACGTCTTAGAGCATAAAAGGCTTTTGTGATTTCTAAAAGTTCATAAAATTTTCCATTAATAAGTAGGTTTTTCCACTGTGTGTGCTTCCACTAACTCTAGAGCTGGCCAAGAGCCCTGAACTCTAGGAGCCCTCTGAGATATCACCACACCACTATTCCCCATAACCTTTGCCTTTTGTTCATTCATTATAACTGCTCCAAACCAAGCCAATCAGCTCAAACCGATTTATTCAAAACTGAAACTACTATAGGCAGAGATGTAAAATAATAATAAAGTGATTTTGTGGTACACACATATGGAGAACAATGAGATCACCAAACTCATTTTCATCTGCAATGTACAGAGAAGGTTTTAGGCATTAATCCATGGCCATTTTATTCACTTTTCTTATTTCCCTTAGTTGGTCTGTTGCCCCTATCTGTGTTTTCTAGTTTGTGTACTGAGTAAAATGGAATCTTTTAAGGCAGATTAAAATCTGTTATAATAATTTTAAGTATCACCAAATCACAGCCCTAGTCTTAGGTACTTTAAATGTAAGAAATACTTAAAAAAAAAAAAGAGCAAAAAATCCACCTCGAACTTAAGTCTGCTTTTATATCAACTATGCTATATACAGCTAGATGGTATGTAAATGATTTACCACAGAAGGGTTCTCTGCTAGTTTCAAAGTTGAAAAGTTAAAAAAGCAAGGGGTGGGCGGAGGCATGCAGAACTATTGTGCCACATAGAGAATCAGTGTTGCTGTCTTCCTCCAATTAGTATGCTCTCCGTGCCTCATTTTAGAATATATTTAAACCTGCAAGGTTAAAGATAAGTCTTGATACATAATCATGATTGAATTCCTTTTAGAAGCAGAGTAGACGTTCTTGAAGATATGGTCTAAGACTATCAAAAATCCTCAAAATTGAGAATTATTTATATACATACTGTTGGACCTTTCTATAGTTTTCAAGATTTGGTTATCTCTCTTCATTTGTAGTTCTGGCCTCTTCTTTTTTTTGAGAGAGAGTTTCGCTCTTGTTGCCCAGGCTGGAGTGCAATGGTGTGATCTTGGCTCACTGCAACCTCTGCCTCCTGGGTTCAAGCTATTCTCCTGTCTCAGCCTCCCGAGTAGCTGGGATTACAGGTGCATGCCACCATGCCCAGATTTTTTAGTATTTTTAGTAGAGACAGGGTTTCATCTTACTGGAAAGGCTGATCTCAAACTCCTGACCTCAGGTGATCCACCCGCCTTGGACTCCCAAAGTGCTGGGGTTACAGGCATGAGCCACCGCACTTGGCCTGGCCTCTTCTTAAAAACTCTCCTCCTCTGGCTTCAGGGATGGACACATTTGTCCCTACACCCTGAACACGTTTCCATCAAGAATTACATATTTCTTGTGTACATCTTCACATCACATTAAAAAAAAAAACCCTATCAAAGTTTTCTTTCTCATTTGATCGGTTGATAAACACGTATACACAGAGAACATTTCCACCCACACTTCACAAGAGTTACTGTGCGGGCCACAGGCAGAGAACACAAAGTGCCATTGAGATGAGCCCCGTAGTTGTGCAGTCTCACTCATAAACTGACCCCCGGTGCATAGGATTCTAACTTGGAACTTAAATATAAGCGCTATATAACAGACTTCTGGGACACTGGAAAGCAGATATCTTAGATGTTGTATCTGTGAATGTCAGGGTCTCCTCTGCTAAAATCATGAAATATAATTTTTCTTTTTGAGAACAAAATTAAGTGCTGACTCTTCACTTCCCCAGTGCATTCCTCAGGATTGTCCCATCCTATGGTGAATGCTGTCACTATTCAAAAATGACTGGGAATATCTTCGAGCCAAAAGAACAGTATTACTGTATTTTTTTTCCTGTGTTTCAATCTTGGTTGAAGGACGTATTTGTTCATGTCCTCATCTTATACCAACTCCGAAGAGAAAAATTTACTCTGTAAAATTGGATGAAAGGTCTTTTCCACATTAATTCTGTTTGGTATGCTTTTATAAGAAAGAACAATTCCATTAGTCCGCATCAATCTATTAGAAATATAGATTTCTAATTTCAGGCTGGGCGCGGTGGCTCACACCTGTAATCCCAGCACTTTGAGAGGCTGAGGCAGGTGGATCATCTGAGATCAGGAGCTCGAGACCAGCCTGGCCAACATGGTGAAAACCCATCTCTACTAAAAATACAAAAAATTAGCCAGGCGTGGTGGCGTGCACTTGTAATCCCCGCTATTTGGGAGGCTGAAGTAGGAGAATCGCTTGAACCCAGGAGGCGGAGGTTGCAGTGCGCTGAGATTGCACCATTGCATTCCAGTCTGGGCAACAAGAGCAAAACTCCGCCTCAAAAAAAAAAACAATAGAAATATGCATTCTCTGTGTTTTGGAGTTTGTTAAAGAGATTTCCATATTTTGTAACAGTGCCCCCCTTCTCCTGCCCCTGTTATGATAAATTGGCTAGTCTCTGTGAAGGCTGGTGAGGTTTCCACGAACTAGAATGGTATGACTTCCTTGGGCTTCAGGTATGGCCACTGCATTGGAGTTTGTTTGGTCAGACCACTTCCTGAGCCCAGGAACTCAAGGCTCTGGCTTGTTTAGGGAGGTGGCAGTGGCAGTATCTCCGGAAATGACTCTTGAAGAACAAGATCAAAGTTAAAATTCTGTCTCGAGACAGTCCAGGTGCAGCAAGTGAGAACACTGCTATAGTATACACTATAACACCAAGAGAGCATAGGAGGTACACACTAGTCTTCTCTGCTTTCCCAACTTTAAACTGGGCTTACACTAACTTCTTTAGAAAGCCCATTTTGGTTTTGTGAAAAGAGACATTTTCTAAAGAAGATAAGAGCTATGACAGAGGATGAGGTCTTGGCCTTTGCCAGGCAAATTTCTGATAAATTGCATGGTGCTTGAGGTTGCTGTGTGTAGTTGTTTAATAAATAGAAAGGTTGGATACTGTCTTTTGTAATATAAGGAAAACAGATTTTCTACTGAAAAAAAACAGAGAAATTCATACCGCTCTAATAATATGTATTCTAAACATCATCTGGCCTTGATTTCCTTGACCAAAGATGCCAGGTTACCTCCACTCTAAGCACCTGCTGTCCCTGAGGCTAGCTGAGATCTGAGATCCAGGGTGTCTCATTACACCCCAACCAAACCCATCTGCTAATAAGAGAGTAGCTAAGCTTTCTACATGCCTGCCACATTTAAGCTATCAAATAAGATGTCAGGGGCAAATCAATCATTCAACATTTTTTTTTTTTTGAGATGGAGTCTCGCTCTGTTGCCCAGGCTGGAGTGCATTGGGACGATCTCGGCTCACTGCAAGCTCCGCCTCCTGGGTTCACGCTATTCTCCTGCCTCATCCTCCCGAGTAGCTGGGACTACAGGCGCCCGCCACCACGCCTGGCTAATTTTTTTGTATCTTTAGTAGAGACGGGGTTTCACCGTGTTAGTCAGGATTGTCTCTATCTCCTGACCTCGTGATCTGCCCGCCTCGGCCTCCCAAAGTGCTGGGATTACAGTCATGAGCCACCACGCCTGGCCCTTCAGCATTTTTATTTATCTCATTTCTGAAAGGAGAACTCCCTAAATCTTGAAAATCATTTCTTCCCACTGTTTCTCACATCCAACTATTCTTCATATAAAAGAAAATATAAACAACCATTTAACATAGGGTCTAGTACTTGCTCCCTCATTAACTCGCTTATAAACTTGTTACTTACAGATTTTCTTTCATGTCAAGTCATTTCTTAGTTAAGAAATTCCAGGCTTACATAAAATGGCTATTTATTTTCCCAAAAGATTCAAAATATCTAAACATTTCGTGGTATTTCTTTTAGATCATTAAGTTAAATATCACAGAAAGAGCTGAAAGCTCCTTTGTATTTTTTTAATTCCTATTTTGTTTCCTTCTTCCACAGTATTCTGGTGTATATCCTTCCCATTCATATTTTTGGCCCTTAACTACATATATGTCCATGAACAATACCTACAGTTTTGCTCTTTTTAAAATGGCATATAACAATATCATATCTACACACACACACACACACACACATATATATTTTTTTGAGACAGGGTCTCACTCTGTCACCCAAGCTGCAGTGCAGTGGCATGATCTCGGCTCACTGTAGACTTGATCTCCCAGGCTTAAGTGATCCTCCCATCTCAGCCTCCAGAATAGCTGGGACTACAGGTGTGGGCCATCATGCCTGGTTAACTTTTGTATTTTTTGTACAGATGGGTTTCACCACATTGCCCAGACTGATCTTGAACTCCTGGGCTTAAGTGATCTGCCCACCTTGGCCTCCCAAAGCACAAGGATTACAGGCATGAGCCTCCGCAACTGGCCAACAATATGATATTTCTATTTGATTTTTTCATTTAACATTGTATTTTTGAGATTTATTCATACTCTTTCATTTAATAGTAAAAGATACCATTTTCTAAATGGAGCAGTATTAGTTATCTATCCTTTTCGTGATGAAAAATTAATTTGTTAAAAATATTCACTATTACAAATGCTGCTGTAACTTTCTTCATAGTATACATCTGAGAATTACGGGGTGCCCATATCAATTTTACCAAATATTGCCAAATTGATCTCCAAAGTTGTTGAATCAATTTACACTCACATTAGTATGTGAATACCCACGTTTCCCCATACTGTTGTAAGACTTAATATTTCCAGATATTAAAATTTTTCTGAAGTCTAAAATTATTCCATGTTGTCAATTCTCCTCCCAAATACAAGATTGAGCATGCTGTAACTATCCAAAGAACACTCCCACCTTCCCCATTTATCATTTGGTCCAGAATTTTTTATTTCTATTTTTATTTATTTTTTATTTTGAGACAGAGTCTCTGTCACCCAGGCTGTATGTAGTGCAATGGCGCAATCTTGGCTCACTGCCACCCCTGCCTCCCAGGTTCAAGTGATTCTCCTGCCTCAGCCTCCCAGGGAGCTGGGATTACAGGCACCCATCACCATGCTCGGCTAATTTTTGTATTTTCATTAGAGACAGGGTTCCACCATGCTGGCCAGGCTGGTCTCAAATTCCTGACCTAAAGTGATCCGCCTGCCTCAGCATCCCAAAGTGCTGGGATTACAAGTGTGAGCCACTGTGTCCGGGCCCATCCAGAATTTTGGTGCATGTTTTACTATCAAGAGTTAATTAAAAGTTATCTTCATGCATATATTTATCTACATTTTTCAAACCAGTTCTAAGCTCTCCTTTCCTTTTGGGTTTTTCTGTTTGCAAAGGTATATTCTTTATGAGTCTTATCAGCATAAGACTCATATGTGTGGGCACTAAGCTCTCAGTCAATGTATGTCTGAATTTTGTTTTTTTTTAATTTCACTCTTAATGGAATTTTATTTCAGCCCAGTACAGAATTTCAGGATCTTTCAGCCCTTTGAGGAGCCTATTGCATTGCTTTCTGGCATCTGTTGGTGCCCAAAGTCTTTTCATTCTTAAATTCCTTTGCAGACAAGCTTTTAAGATTTTGTTTAGGGAACTCATGCTTGACAATTTCACTGTACTATATCTAGATGTGAGTTGATTTTTACTGAGTTTGTCTAAAATCTAAGATTCATAATCTCCCTTAATTTTTCCAAATTCCAAGACATCTCTCTGAAAGTTGCGTTCTATCTATTCTGATAAATGTCATTTTAGATATACGTCTTTTAGATATAATGTCTCTTAACTTTTCTTTCATGTTTTTGTCAGCTTTTCTACTTGTGCCAGAACAAGAACCTGGGCATTATCCTAGATTTATCTTTTCCTTTATCCTTGACATCCAACTGGCCAACAAATTCTATCACATTTCCATTCACACCACCCTGCTCAGGCTCTCAGGAATTCTCACGTGGCTTCCTGAAATAGTCTCCCTCCCTGTATTTTCAATACATTCAACCCTTCATGCCCAAAACTTTAATGTTACCATGTTAAATCCCATCTACTTCCAAGTTTCCTATGCTTCCCTGTAGAGTTCAGTAAATAAATCGTTAGCTTGGCACAGAAGGTCTGTGATAACTACATACATGAATACTGCCCTTAAGCTTCATTTCCGCTTCTTTTAAGTACTTTTCATTTGAACAATACCAACTTATCTACTTGTCGAATCTATCTACCAGGATACAGTATGCCCTTTTGTATTTCCAAGAGTGCATTTTTTAAAAACTGCCCTTCCTTTCCTCCATTGTTACACAGAGAATGTAACTAATACTTTCTTCTGAGAAACAGCCTTCTCCTGAAGTGATAGCCACACCTCACCGCCACCCAACACCACCACCGAGTATACTGCCCCTCTTCCTTTGCAATCCACCTCTGTGAGCCTGGGTTCACTGGATTACAGAGCTTGTCTCACTGTGGCTTTTTTGTCTGCTTTATCCATTTGACTGTGAGTGTATTGTGGGTACTGTACGTTGTGCATGTGGTTAAATCATGAATGTGTATTAATCACATGAATAAGTGAATAGAAAGAAATACACTGCACAATTCCCGGGTAAAGCAAAAGGCTGAAAAATTGGAGATTAAAATTTAAAAAAGAAATCTTAATTTTTGAATCTGGCAGGCCAAATTTTATTTAGTTTTGACAGATGAGTCAGAGAGCAACAAACAAAATAAATCAGTACTGTAATCAACATATCTGTTTAAATAATAAGGATATTTTTCTCAGATGTTACAAGATAGAGGATAAAATTCAAGAGTTTTATAACAAGTCAACTAGTTTCATTTGGTTTATAAAGTTCTAGGTGGTATCATTTTTTAATAAAAATATATACATGTCCACATATATCTGTCTCTGTATATGTGCATTTACATTTATACATAGATGCATAAATAAGGTCTAGTACCAAGTTCTTCTCTGAGCATATTCTAATATGCCCGGGTATCAGATGGACACTGCATTCTGAAACTTACAAATATGCAAGGCCTCTGCAAATTCTGACTGCCTGAACAATAACAACTGACTGAATAGTAATAATATGGCTGAGCTCCCCAGTATCTTTTCTGGAATAAGGTATGGAATGAATAAATAATGCTAAAAAAGTCTGTGGTGGCTTACTCTTGCTATTAAGGATGATTGCATTCTCAACGTTCTTCATAATTATAAATATAGAACACAATACTGAAAAATAGTTATAAACCATTCAGTGGCTTATTTAGACTTGTAAATGGACAAAACTGTAATCCTCTGTTTATATCAGATCACACAAAATTATATAGTTAAAACTAGTGTAAATTATGATTGAAAGGAGGTTTAAGTATGAAGGACTTATCATGGTGACTATTAAAGTAATCACAATTGGCCAAGACAGGCAAGAAATGTGCTTGTTAATAGTTGCATTAGTTGCAAGGTGGATAATGAGATAATAAAACACATAATTGGAGGTTATACTATCTTGATTACTGTAGATTATACCAATGGGCACAATAATGCCACTAAGCAGTGCATCACCAGTGAGCACTCATTTGTTAGATGATAAATGGGTAATGATCTACTATAACCATAACTTCCAGAACGTGACAGAAAATACTTCCTATGACATATCATGATACCAACACATTTTGGACAGCAGGCAAGATCTTTCACTCTTTGATAAACTTAATAAATAATAGAGAACTACAAAAACAGAAAAGATACTATATGGCTCTGAAAAGACACTGAAACAAAAACTGGAAAATGCCAGATTTTACTATGAAGCTATTCTCCATAACCAAACACACACTTTATTGAATTCATTTTCCAATTTTGAAGAAGGCATTTCTGAACATCTGCTATATAAGCTTGGATAATTCTAAAACTGTAATGTTATAATGATTATTAGCTATTGGCTAGTGCTCAGAATTTTATTGAACTCATTAATCTAAGAAAAATAAATATAATTATAACAGTAATAATAAATGTTGGCCGTGTCTTTATTTTTGTAGTTTCCCCTTGTGTCTTCCAGAAAATTACTACTACCACAACGAGGCAAGATAGAACAGGCGTGTCTGTGTTGTATATGTCTTTCTAACCAATTCCCTGCTCAAAAGAGCTCTAGGCAGGGGCCAGATATGTCTAAAAATGACATGGATGTCGATCTCTGAAACGCAGTGAACCACACTTTGACTAAATTTCCCTGCACCTAGAAATGTTAACCTACAGCTTAAGGCTGTTGTTTTTCAGGCTGCAGGATGCTAAAGAAATGAAAATACATGATACAGTACTATAATATCAATATTTAGCAACATGGAATTACCTCACGCAATTCATACACACACACACACACACACACACACACACACACGCATACTTATTTTACATACAGAATAGATTTCATATATAATAAATTTTAATCCTTGTCAAAAAACTGAATGATTTAAAAACATAATGCCACCTAATTTGAGGAATTATGGAATTGGATATTTAAAACTGACACATTCTCTAGATAATTAAGGCATACTTTTTAAAGCATCAAGCCTAAGTACAGCAAAATGGCTATGGAGTATTTAGAAATTCTGACTTAATTCAAGGCTCTACCACTCTTAAGCTGTGCCCTTATAAGTGGTACAGAAAGTGATATGAGTCTTAGTTTTCTCATTGCAAAACACTGACAATAATATCTACATGTTGGTTATTGTCAGGCTTAAAGATAACATATGTAAAGCAGAAAGAACATATAAGCACTCTATAAAGGTTATTTAATATTATTTAAATGATTTTTAATAAATATATTTACAAGATTTATTACATACTTTGCTACCTTTTTCAAATGGACTGATGATAATTTAACCTTTCTTTCATTACTAATGGTCATTATTTCAAAAGCAATTATTACGCTGTAATAAAGTATTCTCTCCAAGGACTAAAGCGCCGTGTTAGCCTGTTTGCTCCCATCCAGAAAGACCTTGCTGCAATTATTCAAGTTCTTGTTTTAATAATAATTTTGACGTTTTCTTTGCTGGCTGCCACTTTTTTACCCTCAGTGCCCCTACAGATAAAGGGAGTTTCCTAATTTGGGAAGGGAATTGGCAGATGAGAATCTCAGGAGGTATTCAGCATCTATAAACTGGTAAAGCAAAATCAGTAGATCTATTTTCTTTCAGTAACAAAATCTACAGAAAGAGAAGTGCTACAAAATTTTGTGACTATTGGGCATCCATAAAAATCTACTGAGAAGACATTTTGGGGAACCCAAGTTATAAAAATAACGATTGAGAAATATTCCTATCACTTATTTTTCTTTGCATTTTTATTTGCTATTCTCTACTTACGTGGTTAGAAAATTATATTCACAAAGAACATAACAAATATATCCAAGCCAAGAGTTAAAATGCTTTGAAAGACGGAGGATCTTGAGTCCTTTCCTATAAGTAACATAGAGTACATGTAATGTAGACAACATATTTTGTATCATATGCAGTGTCTGTGTGGGAGGTGACCTCATGGGCTACTTTCCAGTACAAGCACAGTATTCCTCATTCTTTGTGTGCCCTCCATTCTCTACTCTCATTATTTACTCTTTTCCTGGTCTGAAACACTCCTACCTACTTTGAGTACCAAAGCTTTACGCTTCTCCAACTTTCGCCTCAAATGCCACCTACTCTCCCCTTCTTATAATGTAAGACTTCCTCCAGAGTCTAGTTCATGTTCTCTGGAGATTTACAACCTAGGCCTCTAGAAGGTTTCCTCTGTTTAAAAGGTCTCTGTGTTTACAGAGGACTGATTCACAGCATTCACGTCTGACAAAGGCCACACCGGAGATGATTAGGGGGAGCCCTTGGATTTAGCACAGAAGAGACAAAAAAGCAATCAAGAAATTGAAAATGCCTTCTAAACACAGAACACTGGAAACAATTCAGACAAAGCTATTTTAGATTCGTGCTGCGGTTTACTTAATACGTTTTTAAGATCAGAGAACTGAGGAGGAAAACCAAATCTTTGTTTTATGGATGCAACAAATGGGCCCACCATGCTAAATACATCATTTATTCTTTCTCACAGAGAGATATTTAACTCTGTGGTACAAATAAAAGTAGCAAAGTAGCATTTCCCTTCTACTTAAGGTTTGTTAAAGGAAATTTATGCTTTTAAAATGCTCTACAAACACCAAAAACTGATTGTACCATTATCAGCTTTTAAATCAAAACAGCTTGCTATCTGCTAAGGACAGGAAAAATGGTCGATTTATTTCATAAAACTTTATGTACAAAGAGACACTGCCTATGAACTTAATGGAGAGAATATAGAGTCTGGAGAGGTAATTTTTATTACAATTTATAGTGGGATTACTCATACTCCACAGTTTTCAGATTTTATGGCATCATGATGCTGATGCAGTTAACTGCAGTGGGGTAGGAGGCATAATTTGTTTCGCCCTGAGTGGGAAATGAAATTGGCGTTACTATTATATAAGAAACTTAGCAGATTCTATTAATTGCCTGGATCCAATCAAAGCTATTAGTTATCCTAGTTTCACAGGTAAAATATTTTACCTGAGAGTAAAAGAATAAATAAGAACTGACTACAATTTTCATACAGCAATATCTACGTATTAAGACTGTTTGGAAGCCCAAAGAATATTTCTTACCCACAGGAGTTCATCTCCAGAAACTACTAAAACCTAAATCACATCAAGTATCTATAAGGTACCACCAAACATTATTCTCTAATATTAAGTGCTACAAAATAAAACAACTAGGGAAACAGCAGAAACAATGTATTCAAGAACACCAGGCGACTACAGATTGACATACCACAGCAACAGCTTGGGGGATGGTATTCACTCATTCTGCACTTAAGAGTGTTTATTGTGTGCCAGATGTTGGATAAGGCAGTAAGGCAATGAGAAAAGATGATGTGTGTGTGTTTGTGGGGGTGGTGGTGGTATATGAATTGCCTTACAATTTGGTATGTACTGTTTCAGAAAAGAAGGCATTTGAGCCAGATCTTTTGTCAGAGAAAGAAAAGGCTTCCCTTTGCTTTCTACATGGATAAAGGTAGAATGTCACCTGAAGGGCCACGCAACATGGCTGGGACGTGAGATGTATTTGGTGGAATGGCAACAGACTGAGAGGGAGGGGTAGTATGTGAGGTAGATGTGAGGACGTGCGGAGGCTTGCTGGTTACATGTTATGTTTTGGCAGCCTCCTATTTCACCATGGGAAGGTTTATTCTACTGTCAGGGTTCAGACTGCACGTCTACACTGGCCACACAGCATTCCTAAGCATCTCACACAAAACACTGTTCCTGCAGTGTTTCCCACATTAATGCATTCATTTCTTCATCCATCTCTTCAGTAAATATTTATTGAGCATTTACTAGTGTCAAACACGATGTTGGGGAAATATTAGCTAATGAGGCTTAAATGGTACTTTCATGGAGCTTAAATTGTAGTGTAGAATTCGGGGAGAACACCTCCTCCCCCCACCACAACCTCTTTATTTTAGAAATGAGCATTTATAACAATATAAACCACATTATATAAGCACCACAGTTCTCAGCAGAGGAGCTTATTCTTACTATACGTTACCCAAGTCCTGCTATATCTTTCTCTCCCCAAAGAACTGAGAAACCCATATACCTAGCAAAGAATTACCCTTCTTCTAATTCTACCATGCTCCTACTGAACTCCTAAGACCCTAGTATTTGAAAAGGCAGTTTATCTGATGAATTCTCCAAGGGCTATTCCTAGTTCTCTCAGTTTTACTAAGTTTTCCTACATTCTGTTTTCCTGAACTCTTTCTGTCCCAAGACATAACTGTCCATTGCATTTATTTTCATTTTATCTTATTTTATTTTACTTTTATGAGACAGAGTCTCATTCTGTTTCCTACGCCAGGGTGCAGTGGTATGATCTCGGCTCACTGCAACCTTTGCCTTTCAGGTTCAGCCAATTCCTGTGCCTCAGCCTCCCAAGTAGCTGGGATTACAAGGCGTATGCCACCATGCCCGGCTAATTTTTGTATTCTTCGTAGAGACGAGGTTTCGCCATGTTGGCTAGGCTGGTCTCGAACTTCTGACCTCAAGTGATCCACCCGCCACAGCCTCCCAAAGTGCTGAAATTACAGGCGTGAGCCACTGTGCCTGGTCCATTTTAATTTTATTTTCTCTCTCTGACATTCTAGGGCACTGGTATCCTTGCTCAGTGGGTTCACCTCTCAGCAAAACTTCCTAGTAGCACACAAGTTGCCATATATACGCTTCCATTTAGCCAACAAACCTAATCCATAGTTTTAAAAAACACTAAGCACAGATACACAGAATGCAGCATTTTTATTTCCACTGAATAGAGTCACATGCAAATGTATAGGATGGGAAGTGGGATAAGCGGGTAGAAGTTAAACCTTTTTTTTTTTTTTGGCCCAAATCAAATATAGTCCTAAAAAATTTTCATACTCTCGAAGTCTAAAAACAAAGTAGATAACTTAGGTCTCGAATTCAGGTTTGAGTTTTACTTAAAAGGGTCATATTCACCACACTGTCTTGCAACACTAAACTAGCTGGGAAAATCCGGGGGCATGGAAGAAAAAATAATTAGGGGCATGGTAGAAAAAATAACTAGATTACCTAGAGTTCTCGTGTCTTTCAGTTCATGTCATTTTAAAATTCTGCCACTAGATGGCAATAAAAAGACTGTCCTTTTCATTACAGGTCTCATGGTTCCATATTACATGACTTCTGGAAAAGGTGATTTGGTTGATATGAAAGAGAAAAATCAAGACTCAGAAAAAGGTAGAATGGTGAGGAGTGGAGGGAGACAGAGAAAAACAACTGAGAAAAGGAAGAAGACAGAAAAATGGAGGGAAGGTGAGAGAAAAAAGGTGTTAGAACTGAGGGGGTTACTTTGAAAGGGAGGTGCAGAAAGGGCAAGGAAAAGGGAAGGGGCTGAGTGAAAGCAAGGAGAGATGCAGTGGGGTCTCTCTGAAACTTTTTGGACAGGAACCACAGTAAGAAATACGTATTTCAGCATGACTAGTATATATACACACCCCCTGCCCGCAGTACCACATTTGCATATATGTAAACAAGTTAATGAACAAAAGTTTCATGGAATAATATTTATTTGGGTGACACTCTCAGATACTTTTCAACCTACTCCATTCTATTTCATTTCTTTAAAATCACTCATTGTGAGCTACTAAACTGATATCCAACCAGAAATGACCCCCAGTGTGATAATCATTTTAGTCTACTGTAAACTAGAGCTGGCTTTTAAAAAGAATTTCTCTTTTAAGTGCCACAGCTAGGACTGGGAGATATTCCTGGCTTTGTAAATTGCCCATAAAACATTTGTTGAATAAATGAACTAATTATTAAAAGAAAAAAAAAAAGGTGAAGCTGCTTGGTCTTGAAAAACACATACAATTGGCCAATGATCAAAGTAGCATTTCCCCTACATAAAGGTGGCTGGAGAAAGAATTGAGTATGTGATTATCACCCAGTAAATTGGTAGCTCTTTTTTATTTATTGGATAGAAAGACAAATATCAATTAGTTGTTTTCTAAAGAATACAAAGCAGAATACCCAGTTAATCAAATTTCCCCATTAACAAAGGAAAACAGGCAGAGTGAAAGAGCTGAGAAAATAGTAACATAGTCTGGAACAGAAAAAGAATTATTAAGGGAGTAAGAAAAAAACAGGGAACAGAAACCACAGCCACAGAGTTGTAAATTATTAAAAAGCCAATTTAAAACCGTGCTGGTAATGATTCTAAGACTAAGTTTCCCTCTTGAATCTCATATTCTTCCTTCTTTCATTTGTTCCTACTAATGAAAAGGTGTTTACTTACTAAATATGTTTTCACATATGTATGTATTTCTTACAGTGAGTATAGATGCCAAAATAATTCTACAAATACTTGCAATCTACTATGTAGAATAAGAATTCCCTTGTAGCATAACAGCACTTGTACTATATGAAATCAGAAGCATATTTAATAAGAACATAATTCCAGGATAGAAAAAATTAGTTTTTTTTAAATAGAACTATTCACAAGGGAAATAAAAGATATTACACATCAAAATCCAATATGTAACATTCAATGTACTAAATATTATCAGAGAAAACTTTTCAGGTTTGGTGAAAAAGTAAATATGTAGATTACATTAGAATACTTTACCAGTAAAATGTAATTTAATCATAGAAGTATTTCTTTAAACACAAACTAGGTCTTTTTATTATAGGAGAAACTTGACCTAATAAATAAAATAGTGTGCCAGGTTACCTTATTCGGTAGTACCTAATATCACCTTACAATGAAATGAAAACAAAGCCCATTTTTTAAACATCTTCTTGCTTTAGCTGCTTTACCTAACAAATGGATTTGACTGTCCTGTTTATCTTCACTTCCTTAAGTAACATCTACCTTTTAAAATGATCCGTCCTGGGTATCCATACCTTCTCCTCTTCCTCCTCTTTTCTCCTTTAAACTTTTATTTACTATTTAATGCAGGGAGGTGGGAGGAGCTAATTAAACTCATTTCTGGGCATTTTACAGTCTATGAGGAGCTTAGAGTTTTCTCCTTTCTGCTAGCTCTCTTAGAACAATACAGACAGCTTCTGTCTCCTCCCTGCGCCAGTTATTATCATCGAATCTTAGAACTATCCTAGTCTATGCCAGATGAAGCAGCGAAATCGACAGATTGTAGGCATTTCAGATAAACAAGAGCGTAAGAAGCCAATTTTTTGATGGAATCTATTCAACCTCTTGTGCATGCCCAGAAGTGAAAAAATGCAGATAAGTTTCTACCATGTTGAAAATCAGGTAAAAATAAACCACAAATCACCAATGTATCTGTAGGAAAAAAAAGGGTTCTGAACTCACAGTGAAAATTCAATATTTCATAAACATGGGCTGCCTGCCTTTCTCTCACTATTTAACAAGCTCCTATCTTTGTTTTGCCATAAGAGTGAAACACTCAAGTCTTATCAAAGCCTATATTTAATAAACATAAACCAAATAACAGCAATATTCCAGTCCCATTTCCCAATAAACAACATTAAAAAAGTAAAGACCATAAGTAACTTGCTAGTTTGTCGATAAAAATCAAATTCTAAATTGAAGAATTAACCTATGGCTAGTAGTCACCATACTTAAGAGTAAACAGAATCAATTCATCAAGGGAAGCAAAGATAACTTCACACATAATCACAGGTCAGCTATCTAGGACTATTCTGTCATATGGATGGGTGACGCCAGGATTCCACCAAATGGTGAACAAAAGAGGACAGTCACATGTAAGGTAGACAGAAGCGAGTCTGTGACATGAACGAAATCTCTAGCAACTGAGTACAGGAAGGATTCATGACCTGAAACAAAGACACCAACAAGTGAGAACGCTGGCGACAGAAGAAAATTAGTGAAACAAAGAGATCTGAAATGGGAAGTTCCATGGGAATAAACTCCAGTTGCATCAACGGGACAGAACCTAGGTCACAATGCGCAATGAGTTTTGCAGCAATCTCTGTGATGACTGTATTTTCTTTCACAAATATAACCAGCATGAGACTAAAAATACACTTGTGGCTTCTTTCTATAGGCTGCTGAGAAAAGCAACAGCCTGTAGGAAGAAAATGGGGTGTATTTCAAATTAGTCTACAGCCACATCCCTTTGAAACTCCTGAATGGATGCTATGAAAATAACATATTTTTGGAGGATTCTTCACCGTGTGTCTGTGTCTAAATATAGTAAGAAAGCAACATTCTTTAAAAGAAGAAGACCAAAGAAATTGCACACCCAAATTGGATTAGTTTCTTAACAGCAGTATCAACATGTTCTACTCAGGTATTTTGGGAAAAGTACTTCATACTCAAGGATCTAAACACATGATTATTTTAATAAGAAATAATGCATTTGGACCTATAATAAGTTATTTTTTCAAGTATGACACCATTTCAATAAAAGTCTTAATGTAATAAATATGTTTTGCTAAATGCTGATAGACTCTGCGCTGCTGGTGTTAAATTTGCATGAAAGAAAATGTGGGATGGTAGGAAACCAGAGCTGGGCTCTTTTTCTTCAAGCAATCTATTTTATTACCGTCATCTGGACATTTGATTGCTTTTGTGTGGCTAAGGAAAAGACAGAAATGTAGCAAAAGGGGAGAAATAGCAGAGCATCTACATAAGTTAATAAAGAACAAAAGGATAGTGGTTAGGAAAGAAAATTGGGCAAAGTAAAATACCCACCTGGCTGCACCAGGCTTCTGCAGGCCCTGATGGTTTGAAAGCCACTGATCAATCACATCCTTGCTCAAGTCTCACTCCCAGGCATCAAGGTTACCATCAAGGTTACTGGCTCAGGTATAGAAGAGAGGAGATGCGTCCTTTTGTTTTTTTCTCCCCAGATCTTTATTTGGCTATGACATTAACTTTTTTTTTTTTTTTTTAAGATGGGATTTGGCTCTGTCACCCAGGCTGGAGTGCAGTGGTGTGATCTCAGCTCACTGCAACCTCTATCTCCTGGGCTCAAGTGATCCTCCCATCTCAGGCTCCTAAGTACCTGGGACCACAGGTGCTTACCACCATACCTGGTTATTTTTTTTTTTTTTTTGTATTTTTGGTAGAGACAAGGTTTCACCATGTTTCCCAGGCTCATCTCGAGCTCCTGAGCTCAAGCAATCTGCCTTCATTGGCCTCCCAAAGTGCTGGGAATACGGGCATGAGCCACCACACCTGTCTGACATTACCTTCTATGTATCTTGAATTTCTAAAATGTAATACCTATTAATGTTTAAATGTAAAAAAATGCCTTTAAAGGACAAAGTAATAATTTGGGACTCATGGTTTATTTTCAGTTATCCTGCACATTCCACTAAACAATGAAGAAAAAATGTTGATCTTATAATTTCTGGTATCATTTTTATAATTATCAATGGAACTCAAATTTTACTTTTATTTTTACTTGTTTGCTAATAATCCAGTAAAGAGTTGAAAATGGACAATCCTAAACAGGAAGAATTATAGAAGCAAAGTCCTTAATTGCACGTTATTGCTTATATTGTACTGTGAACACACCTGCATCTTGCAGTAATTAATCTGAATTCTAAAGTCTATTTATTATGTTGACAAAATTGTTAGGAAAAAGATACATAATGGAAAATGAAAGGAACTACAAAAAACAGAAGATAATGATGTAGGATTATTCCTGATGGCATATAAACTTGCTATACTATCTCCTTCTTTTAAAACCCCTCCCTTGAGAACCTAATGCCTCTCCAGCTCTCATTCCATTTCTCTACAACTCTTTAAAGCAAAACTACTCCAAAGAACTATCGAGACTTTCAGTCTCCTCTTCCTCACCTCTCATCTGAACACCAACTTACTTCAGGCAGTCTTTTGTCCCCACCATTCCACTGACACACTGCAGGTCAGTGTCAACGATGAACACTCCCTCGCCAAATGCACAATTCTCGGTCCTCATTTTATTTGGTCCCTGAGCAGCATTTGATACCATTGACAAGCTGCTCTTGAAAACACGCTCCACCTGCATTCTCTTTAACATTACTCCACTTTCCTCATGAACAGATGAGTTTCCATGCTGACTCTTGCATCCCTCTTCACTTTCTAACCTCACAATGCTCAGGTGTCCAGTCGTCCATGCTTCTCCTTCTCCATTTGGCTCTCCTGAGATGATCCCTAGTGGTACCCAAATTTTATTTCTCCAAATCTGTCTCCTCTTTCCTCTGAGTTCCAGGCTCGCCCACCCAACTCCCATCTCAAGCTCTATTAAAATGTGGAACAGGCATATCAAATTTAACACGTCCCAAAGGGAATTCCTCTCTCAACCCCACTGTGCTCATCTTAGTAGAGAACAATAGGTCAGCCAAAAACCTAGAAGTCACCCTCACTTCCTCTCCTTCCCTCATATCCCACCATCCGACCCATACTGCAATAGTCCCCTTTACTAGTTCTTCCTAGTTCTGCTCCTTCCCCATATTCTTTACAGCATGCAGTGGTTCAACGATTTTTGTAAAAGGTAAAACGGATCATGTCACCCTCCTGTTCATTCTGAACCCAGTGGCTTCCCAACATATTTAAAACAAAACCAAAGACTGTACAGCATTGCCTTGAGAACCTACCAGATCCTTCATTTACCCTCCCCTTCCCTCCCCCTACTTAAGCCTCTCTAGTTCCACCAGCCTCCTAGCAGCTCCTCCTCACAAAGGCCATACTCACTCATGCCTCAGAGTCTTTGAACCTGCAGCTCTCTCTTTTTGCAAAGGTCTTCCACAGCTATTACTGACACAGCTTACTTCTCAGAGAGGCCTTCCTTGATTATACCTAAAGCTGTGCCCCTCTCCCATTAACTTTCCAACTCCCTTATCATGCCTTATTTGTCTTCATAGCACTTGTAGCATCTGATACACATGAACTGTCACTGCTACTAGAATGTAAGGTCCCTGACAGTAGGGACTTGCTCATTTTGGGACACCAATTCCTAGAAATGTGGTTGGTATAAGGTAAATGCACACTGCATATCGGAAGGAAGGAGAATCCTAAACGCGCCTGCTCTTCCATCAAGGCAATAATGAACCAAGAATAACTTTGCCTGAGATCTGTCTTGACCCTCTATGCCAGGGGTGTCCAGTCTTTTGGCTTCCCTGGGCCACAACGGAAGAAGAAAAATTAACTTGGGCCACACATAAAATACACTAACACTAAGGATAGCTGATGAGTTTTAAAAAATTGCAAAAAAAGTCTCATAATGTTTTAAGAAAGTTTACAAATTTGTGTTGGGCCTTATTCAAAGCAGTCCCGGGTTGCATACAGCCCACAGCTGCGGGTTGGGCAAGCTTGCTCAATGCTTTCCTTCTATTAAATATTGGTGAAAGCTAATGAGTGTCTCCCAGGAAATGTGCCACAAACTTACCCAAAAAGGACTTAAATTCCTTTGTGAGGTCAAATAATTCCTTTAGGGTTCGGTTTATAAATATCATGTCTTAGATTGCACAGTATAGGCTGGTGCAAGAGTAAATGCAGTTTATGCCATTCCGTTGACAAAAACCGCAATTACTTTTGCACCAACGTAATAACAAAACTCTCCTCTCTATGTGGGAACCCCGCACCTCCCAGTACCACCACTGTGGGGGGGCTAACTGCTACTTGTCCTTAGGTATCAAGTGGAAAAATGTCTTCCTTGGGAGACGTTTCCTGACATCCTCCCTCTCATAGCTCAATTCTAAATTATGTTTGTTTACTATACCTTCTAGGACATCATTCCATTTTTCTTCATATCACATATTATATCCAAGGCCCAGTAGAGATGTCGGGGTGTTCTGTGCTAGCTGACAACCTGCCATTGCTTTAGATCACTATTCTTTGCACACTTGGAAAGGCTGAGGTTCTAGCCTCACTAGAAGGCATTTTCACACTTCTCAGGAAGGAGTTTTAAAAAAATCTTTGCATGCCATTCTGTCCTTAGTCAAGCATCCCTTGCAGAAGTTTCACCCCACCCCTTCCCAAACCCTCACCACTCCATGAGCATCACAGTAAATACATGTCTTCCTAGAACATGACATCCTACATGAAAATACTTTGGTCAAATACAGCTTTCTCTATTTGCGATTATAATTAAACTCATTCCACTGGGCAACTCCCTGGCTGGTCTATTTTAGTCCAACTCTGTCCACAATTATCAGTTATTTGTTTCTATGATTATTTCGTGGAAAGTCAGTAGCTCTCATTAGACTGTAAGCACTATGAGACAGAAACAACATCTGCTTTGCCCAACACTGTATCTTTGGTGTCAATAAAATGCCTGATAATGATAGATGCACAATAGACAGCTGAAAGGACAAATGGTTCAACTGACAGGACATGTGAGCTTAGACGGATATGCGCATTCACAGTCCTTCACGTAATGTGACATGTAGGGTAACCTATTTCTCTATCAGAGACCAGATACGTTATACCAACTTTAAAAGTAGCCAGTACAATCATCTACATTTATGCATTACACTTTGTATTTTTATTATTAGCATTTTGAAAATCCAACTTCCCTATCGTATTTTCCTTTGCTCATGCATACCAGAAATACACATCCGAAGTAGGAAGGGAAATGGGGGCTCCCTTTATTCTCTCAGCCTTCACTACTGGCTCACCGCCCAGCTGCATATATGCTAAACAAAGAACTGAGGAATTACTGAAATGCCCTTTCCTTTATTCATTCTGTGAGGTAGGCAGGCTTCTTCCACTAGACAGTTTTACTATTACCTAATTAATCAGTTAAGCAATAAAAAAGTATAAAATGCTATAGCAACATTTGTAGAATATGGTGATTATAAAAACTTAGTATAAACTAATAAAAATAGAAAATATGGGATGTCCTCAAATAATTTCTCATACTAAACTCTCATCCCTTATAATTTGTTATTGTAAAAACTTTGAGAAGCAGTTCCATACCAATGTCTTGAGGTAGTTTTTCTGTTTAAAATTCAACAAGTTTTTGTTCCTCCATACTTGTTTTTATAAAAAAGAGAAAAGGTTTTTGAATATTATTGATTTTGGTATTTTTTGGGAGAGATAATAAGTAATTTCAATCATTTATTGATAATTGATGGATGCTAGACATGTATACATTATGTTCTTTTTTTTTTTTTAGATAAGAGTCTCACCCTGTTGCCCAGGCTGAAGTGCAATGGCTCAATCTTGGCTCACTGCAACCTCCACCTCCCGGGTTTAAGCGATGATTCTCCTGCCTCAGCCTCCTCAGTAGCTGGGATTACAGGCGTGCGCCACCACCCCTGGCTAATTTTTTGTATCTTTAGTAGAGATCGGGTTTCAAAATGTTGGCCAGGCTGGTCTCGAACTCCTGATCTCGTGATCTGCCCACATCGGCCTCCCAAAGGGCTGGGATTACAGGCATGAGTCATCACACCTGGCCTATACATTATGTTCCTAATCTTCCCAATAATCTTCTAGGCTAGATCATGTTATTATCCCTATTTTATCACTAATAAAAATGAAGATTAGTGAGATTAAATAACTTTCCCATTTACATAGGTATAAGTGACAGAGCTAGGGTTCTAATTCATACATCCTTGATCCCAAATCTCATATTCCTAATGACCATAGCACAATCTGCAGGGTTTATACTTAAATTTTTATTCTTGATATGAGAAAACTACTGAGTAAAAAATAATGCATGAAACAAATATATTCATGTAGAGACCAAATTATAGCATGAGTCTTAAAAGTTCTACTACAATAATTCATTTTCCAGAAAATTAAATTTTAGCAATATTACTTTATATATACTTTCAAAATAAAAATCTCTCTCACAAAATGATCATGGCAAACAAAAAAAATCACTTTTGTTTCTTTCATTAGTGAATCAAAATGGTATGAAAGATCATGAGCAACATTAATATCTTTATTAATTAACTTTATAATAAAATAATTTTTATCTTATTTTACAAAGATTAGGTTCTATCATGTACACATGTACACATATATAAGATAATATGCAACTTTGCATGTTTTGCTACTTGTTAATTTCGAATTCTTAAAACATTTGCAATATCATTTCTAAATTGTAAAAGAAAATAAATATCTGATTTGGCCTGCAGTTATGTTGTTATTATTCAAATCTGATTTGTTCAGTTCAATCAGAAGTGTCAGCAATATCAAAGAGGGTTTGGCTCAGGTAAAATCCATGAAAAGTTTCCCTAATTCCTCTTCTTCCTCTACGTTTTCACTAGAGAATAGTGGGACTAGCTCCTGGACCATTAGAGAACAAAGGAAAGAGATTATCAAGTAAGCAACGAGTGTCTGCATCTCAAGTTTGCAGTCTAAAAAGCCTGTATGCTCTGAATCATCAGATTTTAGTTTGATTAAACTAGGAAGGTGAAACTTATTTCACGTGTGATAAAGAAACTCACTGCAGATAAAACAATACCTTGCTAATGGTGAATGCACAATTTTGTAATTCATACCTGCAAAAATTTCTGTAAGTTCACAATCAATCAAATGTATTTATTCCCACCTCATACAAGAACCAAAACAACCATATTTACTAGCATTTTATGAGAAGGCAGTGTTTTATGTACTCATCGATCATATTTTAATTACAGGCCTCAGTAGTAATATAGTGTCAAAGCAAAAAGTAATACAACATAAATCTTAATCCATCATTATTTCTAGGCTCTGAAGGCAAAGTACATACATATTATTTACTTTAAAAGGGAATAAGTCAATGATTATGGGCATTCTGCATTTCTATTGAGGGGTGGCTTGGTTTTTAGATTCATGGGTAGTGAAGAAAGAGAAAAGACAGCATGATGCCACCGCAATTTCTTCTAGTAAAATTCAGGGAAAAAAAAGAACTTAGAAGAAGAAAATAACTTCATGACCAGCTGCATAACTATCAAATTTAATGAAATAACTAGTGATGATTACACATAGTCATGTAGCAAAGTTATCTTCCTGCCTTCTACCCTAAAAGGGAATATTAATATTGCATCTTGAAATATTTCCAGTATATTGAGTCATCCTGTCCCTTAAAATAATAACTTAGCCTTATAAGAAGTTAGTAACACAAGCTACATGATACTACTATAGTCAAACACCTAATTCTAGAATTATTTTAATGGCAACTTAATTTATAGGTTACTCAAAAGTGAATGATTAGATTCCAGGCACTGCAACTTCACAACATTGTATATTATTATCACCTAAATAAATTCCAACTGAACAACTCAACAAAGAAACATCCGGATTTACTTAAAAAAATTTACAATTCATAATCAGTAATTTATACTTCATAAGCAATTATGTTCACCATAGATTGCCCTTTCCAACTGAGGACTTAAGAGCATTTCAAAGCAAGTATTATTTTGCAAACTTAGATATCTGAATTCTAACATTACGTGACCTATGGTAAGTAAAAATACACTAAGCAAAACTGGAGCATATACCTACATAAACATAGGGTGAGTTCCCTCTAAACTGTGTTCTACTTAAGGCTGAACAGCTGGTGTCTCCACGTTGCTCTACACAGAACTTCTTTAGATGTAGTGTTTGTATACAATTTAGGTTTTGTTCACTGCAAAAATGAAGTCACCTCTAGTGCTGAAATAAATCAAGGCTTGTTTATGTCTCTTACCTTTGCCATGGCCTCTCCCATCCTCCAAAAGCGGCACGACAATAGTGTTGTTCACATTTCCAGGTGACCTTACAGCTGTGTAGACAACAGGCACCGACTGTACCACCACGGGGATGCGGTGAACATGACTCAGTTTGTTAGACTGTAAATTCATGGGACTTGAAGGCGGTACGGGATGGATAATGTGCAAAAACTGCTGGCCTCCAACACCAGATGCAGAGGCCACAAGGGGCCCTGGAGTTAATACTGTTGACGAAGATGACGCTGAAGATACTGATGTGATAACAGTTGGGGATGAGGCTAGACGACTAGAAGACGATGAAGAGGTTGAAGTTGAAGAAGGTGAGGAGGCAGATGCTGTCATGGAAACTGGGGAGGATGAAACGGCAGTAGGGGACGTCCTGGCTTTGTTTATTGACAAGTCCACTGGCTCAGTTTGTGTTTGGAAGTGATCTACAGATAACGAGTCCTCCGGGGGCTCCCCTTTCACATTATTTAGCAACAGGGGAACGGCTTCCATATCGGGATAGTTGTGGACGTTTGGAGACTGTGGGGAGAAAAATGGAACATATATTTATCTTTGTTTATCACACATTTTATCGATGCATGGCTTACCACTTGAACGTTTATTACTTTTTCTCTTATTGCTATGGGACATTTATTCGTTCTCCAAATATCTGAAGGATTGCTCAGAGACAGTCACTGTGATTAAAACTGAGGGCATAAGAGTACAAAACAGAATAAGGCCTCTACCATAAAGACATTTTCATTCCATTGGGACAGATAGACAATTATTAAAATACTATGAAATCAGTGCTCTATGAAGGAGAAAAGAGGCCATATGAATCTCTAGGATTCTAACCCTTACTCAACACTATCACAATACGGAAACATATTACCTGGCAACAATAGTGGGAAAACTCACTATGACATTTCTACTTTCATACTTGTTGCAAGAGTTACCATACCATACTCAGTATATTCTGAGCATTAAAAAAGGGCATAAAGTTCTTCAACCTCCCACACCTGATCACTAATTTATTAAATGGAAGTCATTTCTAATAATTAGCTAACTCTTCTCAAAATAATGTGCACAACTACAAGTGACATTTTAGGAAATAATAATTTAAGAAAAACTTATCCTGAAAATTATAATTTGTCTATGAATTTTCATTTAATCTGAAATAATGATGATAATGTTGTTCAAGTTCACCTGCACTCTTTTAAGTTTTAATGAGCAAAATTTGATAATAATAGACTCCAAGATTTTACCCAGACTAATGTGATCAGCATGCTATTATTTGCATGAATATAATTTTACTCATATATCTATTCATTCATAAATTCAACAAACATTTATGAAATGTCTGCTTGCAAGTCCCCAAATGGCATAAGAGTACTATTAGTGGTGTCAGTCTAGACTAAAAAGAGAGAATTAGACTCTACTGATTATTTTGGTTACATCTGTTTGGCCAGGTTAACATAGACATTATTTTCCCATTTATGAGGAACAAAAACTTTTTTTCACTTTTTATGGATCAGAACAATACCTAAAATTATATTAAATTGGTTCATTTTGTTCCTCATTTAATAAAAGATTTTGGTGTGCTATTCCCCCTAAAACTTCGGCATACATTTAAAGGAATGAAACATGTTTCCTAAAGCCTTTTTAAAATAGAATATAAATTACAGCTCCATTCAAAACATACAATAGGCAGTAGCACACGGGCATTTTACTCAGCAACTGAGAAAAGAAAGAAAATAAATCAGTAATGGTACCAGATCAACTAAAATAGGAAATGGGTTGATGTTTTAATGCTGTTTTTCCTTTTTCTTAGCTAACATGGTTACTTACCTATAAAAACAAATGACTTAGAAACAATTAAAATGAGTCATCTAAAATATCTACTGTATGAAATTCTAAATGACAAGATTTTCAGTTTATGTGCTGAAATTGAGAAATAAATTTTTAATCTTTTCAAAGACATTTAAAAAACAAAGAAAAAACAAACACCATAAATTGAACTGCTTTGATAAAAGCTATTAGCATTATCTACTCTTGTAACTAGAACAGTATTTCAATTTCAGCATTATCATTTTATTTCTTTGTAGAATAATGCAAAATGTTTCTTATTACTATATTATACCCACATAGAAATTCTTTGCTTAGGTTGCTTTCATAAAAGACATCAACTAGTTTGTCATTAAAAGATAAAACATATCAGTAAGCACATATTATTAAACACCACTAGTTTGACTTTAAATATAGTCTAGGTAAGTTTTTCTCCTTTTACCGTATCAACATATCAAAAATTCTTATTTTAGAGAGAGTGATTACTTCCACCACAAATTTTTCTCCTCCTGTCTACTTAGACACAAGATTCCTACATACATTTACAAATCAAGGAGTAAAGAGTACATCACTGCAGAAATGTTCTATAATGTAAATGAAAGTTGACTGGGTAGACAGACAATACAGGAGGGGGAGCTGATAAATGCGGACCTTATCTGTAAGGAGATTGCTTGTGAGGCACCAAGTTTTACTGAGCTTTGCAGACTGCTTAGTCTTCTCTAAATTATCTTTGTTTATCACACAAGTCTACCTCTTGTGGGTATCTTCTTAATCTCTTACTGAGGAAAATATTTACCTCTTAAGAAGTTTCATAACAACATCTTGTTGCTATGAACAACAGGGTTATACCTCATAAATAATATTAGCTATATATTATATATAATATATATAACATATATATAGCATATTATATATAATACATATAGCATATATAATATATAGCTATATATTTTAGCTAATGCATATTAGCTTTCATTAGAAACTTGTGAAGCCAAATATTAAGAGCCCCTAGGTACTTTGAGACACTTAAGAATTACATGGCTTTTGCATGAGCTCAAACCAGAATATAGAAAAGGCTCACAAAAATAAGGAAGAATAAACCAAACTTTGGGACCAAAGAAATCTTATTGAGAACCTTCTACAAATTACACATGAATTTGTAAAATCACAGAGACAGACGCTGGTCCTTTTTCATATGTGGCAGCTGAAATGCAGCTAGCACACTCAAAAATAATGCTTCATCAGTATAAACAGGACAAAATCCTTCTTGTACCATTCATCTGTTTACAGCGTTGACACAGCAGCATATCCTGACAGCCGACACTAATCTCTTATGCAATGATTATGGTGCAGGTAAAGTCATCCATAATTGCAGCTTCAGATTACACAGACATATCTGTAAAGCCAGAAGTACTGCAAAAATATGGTCTCAAAACAGCTATGGCACATACTTGTGTTCCTCCTTTTAGGGAAGAAAAACGACCCAAAAGTCTTACTCCTGAAATCATCATTAGAAATTCATTTCTTTACTTTTAGGAAATGGAAAATCAAAAGCATTGGTTTTGTGGTGCACACCTGTAATCCGAGCTACTCAGGAAGGTGAGGCAGAAGAATCGCTTGAACCCAGGAGGTGGAGGCTGCAGTGAGCCAAGATCATGCCACTGCTCTCCAGCTTGGGCAACAGAGGGAGACTCCATAAAAAAAAAAAAAAAAAAAAAAAAAGCATTGGTTCTGAGATTTGCATCTGTAAATGTGTGGTTGTGCTGACAGGAAGGGAGCACTACAAATGGCCACAAGGGGGAACGAAGGCTGAGGAGATACAAAGGAAAGAATCCCAAGTAAGAAATACTTAGAATAGTGAAAATTAAATGAAAGGATTACAAGTATTAGAGAAAGCGAGAGGAGATACGGGGTATGCCACTCAGGAACCAGCCTCAAAGGGGATAAGAACACTGAAAAGAGGAGAAACAACAAAGAAAGGTCGTAAGTTTTAAGCACAAGGAAGAGACACTTCTGCAAAAAGGACAAAGAATTCCATACTAACATTTTGCCCTTGTTTAGTAACTCCTCAATTCTTGATTCATTAATGAATTCTCATGGCAGTGTCAACTAAGTGGGGTTTTTTTGTTTGTTTTTAAATAAAAGCCCATCATGATCTTTGCCTGGGAGTGGTGACTATAGCTGAATTTTTGCTGTTGATGTCCCTGGTATGAAAGATAGAAGACTTACTGTATTCATATTCATGCTAAAACCCTCCTTCTAACAACATGAAGATTGTATAAGAACACTGGATTTTTGTCAAAGAGGAGAGTAATTTCATTTTCCAAAAGATTATATAATATTCCTTGAAAAGGTACACTGTAAAACTTAAATTTTTATAATACATATTAAATAATTGCACAAATACACACAAAAGGCCAGAAAAGTAAATGGAACAATATACTTCATTAAAAACAATGTGTGTGAAAACCTAAAGATAAACATAAGGATTATGCTGTCACATTGTCTTTTCTCCAAAAGTCTCAAAGCCAGTTTTACTCACATTAACCCACTTGATAAAATATTACATATAACATTCCAGTGAACATGTTTTTTTTGAGTGATCTGGAAATTACATTTGAGGTTTTCTAATCAGATAACTTTTTTTTCCTGAATAAACATCTTAAAATGTAATTTCAGCTTTAGGCATTTTGTTGAATGAATGTCAAATGAATCTAAAACCTCCTACTTGTTAGTTCCCAGAGTACTAGATGTGTTTCCTACAGTTATCTATTGCTATCAACTGAATTTTATTACAGTCTGTCTGTGAACAAAACAATTTTAAATGATGGTCGTATATTTTAATCACCTGGAATTTAAAAAGAAAGAAAAATATGTCCGGATACTACTCTATCTTTGGAAACCCCTCCAGGGATTTTTCTGTGTAGTCAGAGCTGAGGAGCAATGCATAATATTCTACTAAATGTCGTTCAAGATTCACATGCTCTTTCCTCTTTAGTAACACCAGCAATGTTTAGAGATGGGGCTGACATACATGGGCATTCACACGTACACACAAGATGGTCCCAGCTATCTATCTATCCTTTCAGTCATCGGTCATTTAAATAAATTATGTTCCATTTTACTTTTACAAATGTGTTGAGAAATAATTTCATGGCAATTTTTAGAAAAGATTATAAAGTAACTTGCCTAACATTACATAGCTCATGGCTTAACTGTCACAAGAATCTTTGTTTTGTATCCTGTTGTGTGATATTATACAAAGAAAATTTTATTTGGACACAAAAGACTTAGATTCATCACCAATCCTTGTTGTTTATTAGCTGTGCGATCTTGGTATCATCACGAAAATTCTCTAGGTCTTAGCTTATCCATCTATAAAAGTGTGATGTTAATTCCAAACTCATACAACGGTTGTGAAGATTGGGTTAATGGCATTAAGTGCTTTTTAAGTAATACTGAGAAATGAGAGAGACAAGCAAATGAGCAGAACTTCCTCCGGTTAGAACTAAAAATTCCAAACAGAACTTACTCTATTACTAAAACTATCTCAGGAGGAACTTGACTCACTGAATGTAGCGTAAGATATATTCTGACACAGAATCTCATAAATACAGTCATTGCGGAGGCACAGTGTTTACTGAACCAAATAAATACATGTTACAAAAAGCTGAACAAGTCATCTTTAGGGATCTCTTATGATTATTTAGAAACAATTTTCTCTTAAAATATAGACAACTGTCATTTGATACTTTTTTTTCCTCTACTTTCTAGCTGAGTTAGATTGGCCCACAGGAAGATCATGTAACAGTTGATGGAATACATTTTAACTGACTGGCCTGATTTCTTAATTCCACAGTATAAATAACTTAAATCAATCCACACTTCAGTGTGCATCCATTATGACAATAATATAACAAATAGATTCAAATAATTGCTTTGGGATGTTGGTCATTCTTTAGCAGTCTTATTATGAGACAATACAGGAGCATATTTGTTTCTTGTGTCTTGGTAGAAAATTAGTTTACATAAATTTCACTGTGTGACTTAGTGATTAATTGAACATGTACCTTTTATAGGAAGTGCTTAAAGAAATTTACTCTATTTCACATTAAAAAGGAATTAAACTAAATCTATGACTCCACATCCTTGGAGCTTTTAGGTTACGCTGCATTATTTTAAAGACTAGTATATTTTAGGTGAAGAGCCAAATTCCTTTTGAACATGAAGTGCACAGTAGGTACATGGCTTAGTTTTGGTGCCTGGGTTTCCCTTAGTAAATACAATTTTTTATTAGTAGTAAATGAAATGGTTTTAAGAGATGAGCACCATTCTTAAAAGAAGCATCCCGCAACTCTGGCTATTTCTGCTACAAGTATAAAAGTCACCACACATCCATTTGTGAATGGAGTATGCATTTCACTTTCCTCTATTCTTTTGTATTACTAAAAAGGGAAGCCTATTTTTCAATATTTGTCTTGCATGAGCCCCCATGGTCATAATTTACCTTGCTTTCAGCTCAGTGATTCTTCTTTACATGTTCAAGGGCAAACTCTTAAACATAAATGCCGTAAAAGTGTGAATTTATAAAACTGACAAAAACGTAAAGCAAAGTATACTAAAGAAAGATAAATTGTACTTCCTCTAAAAGTACAGATGACAGAGTAAAAGGAAACAAGTAGAAATATCCTACACTGATAACCTGGAATTTGGTTTGAATGAGTTATCTACTGCATGCAAGGGGAAGATATTTGAATAAATATTTAATTCAACTGCCTTATATCAATATGTCAATTGTCAGTTTAAGAAATGATTGATTCCGGCCAGGCACGGTGACTCACGCCTGTAATCCCAACATTTTGGGAGGCTGAGGCGGCGGATCACTTGAGGTTAGGAGTTCAAGACCAGCCCAACATAGTGAAACCCAGTCTCTACTAAAAATACAAAAATTAGCCGGGCGTGGTGGCGCGTGCCTGTAATCTCAGCTACTGGGGAAGCTGAGGCAGGAGAATCACTTGAACCCAGGAGGCAGAGGTTGTGGTGAGCCGAGATCGTGCCACTGCACTCCAGCCTGGGTGACAGAGCGAGACTCCATCTCAAAGCAAAACAAAACAAAACAGAAATGATTGATTCCTTAAGAAAATTTGAAGTCTATACATCAAATAATGTACTCTCTGTGCTTTTACATTTATGTTTTTTTTTTTTTTTTGAGACGGAGTCTTGGTCTGTCGCCCAGGCTGGAGTGCAGTGGCGCGATCTCAGCTCATTGCAAGCTCCGCCTGCCGGGTTCATGCCATTCTCCTGCCTCAGCCTCCCAAGTAGCTGGGACTACAGGCGCCCGCCACCATGCGGCTAATTTTTTGTATTATTAGTAGAGATAGGGTTTCACCGTGTTAGCCAGGATGGTCTCGATCTCCTGACCTCGTGATCCGCCTCCCTCGGCCTCCCAAAGTGCTGGGATTACAGGCGTGAGCCTACATTTTTAATGCTTTTTTACATATGAATTGAATTGAAAATGCTAACCTTTAAAATGTGTTCAATACACACATTTAAATTTATCCTAAAGTTCTCTTACTTCCTAATAGTTATATTTTTTCATGACCTATTTACCAGGACTTTCATAAATCATATTATTTACCTGAAGCAAATCAGAATCTATGTTTACAGCTGACTGCTACTCTGAAACTCTGGTTTGGCCCATGTGTGTGATGACTTTAGGTTGGTGTGAGTGAGTGAGGAGGAGACAGGGAATTTTGTTCATGCATTCTAAAATTGGTAAGCAGGACAGGCGTGGTGGTTTACACCTGTAATCCTAGCCAAGGCTGAGGCCAGCAGATCATCTGAGGTCAGGAGTTCAAGACCAGCCTGACCAACATGGTGAAACCCTGTCTCTACTAAAAAAATACAAAAATTAGCAGAGTGTGGTGGTGGGCGCCTGTAATCCCAGCTACTAGGGAAGCTGAGGCAGGAGAATCGCTTGAACCTGGGAGGTGAAGGTTGCAGTGAGCTGAGATTGCGCCACTGCACTCCAGCCTGGTCGACAGAGTGAGACCCTGTCTAAAAAAAAAAAAAAAATGGTAAGCAGACATTCCCAAGGACTGAAAACATGGACAAACATTTTTAAACGGGAACATAAATGTGTTCCAGATAAATACACAAACCTTTAGCAAATAGAAGATATTTTCTTTTACCATATAACTAGGGAATATACATCACACTTGTTAGCTTGGAATATGGTGCTCAAGATGTTTTGAATTTTAAATCCTACTTATATGGCCAGAAGAAGTAGTAGTATCACTATAACAGGTCAAAAACGGAAGCTGGATTAAGTCCTATTATCTTGCAATTGTTTTTAAACAACATTTCACAAAGCACACAAAAATGTCTTAAAAATAAAGAGGTAACTATTATAGGGTTATCTTTTCCTCATGATTAGAATTTTGTTCTTTTGGTTTTAAATTAATGTTATTATTCATTGCATGACTTAAAATATTAATTAAAATTTCACTATACTGCCAGAAAAACCTGTTGTATAGACTTTTAGGGGATAAATCTTTATCCTAAACCACAATCTCACTCCAGTGCCTGAGGCAAATGTTCTGTGCTAGATACATATTTTAAAATATGCAATAATGTTTATCATCCTCGAACAGATTAATCTCTGCTACCAGATGGGCCCTGCTTTTGATTCTATAAAATGTTCACCATAAACAGTTATTTCTTACAACAGTATCTCATAGTATTGAAGTATATCAAATTTCAGAGAAAGAAAACTTGACCTCAGAGTGGCTGTAACAGTCAAATGATACATTTAAAAACTCCTACACAGGATAAACATGTAAAGCAAAACTGTAACCTTTTTATGTAAACAAAGGCATATTAGCAAAACAATGGCTTTGCTTTTTGGATAACCCAGTGGTTCCTTTGGTAGTATCCATGGGGGATTGGTTCCAGGACCCCCCTCCACCAAGGATACCAAAACTACAGATGCTCAAATCCGTGATATAAAATGGCACAGTATTTGCATACGGCCTACACAAATCTCCCCATATACTTTAAATTATCTCCACATCACTTATAACATCTAACACAATGTAAATACAATGTGAACAGTTGTCATTTCGTATGTTTTCATTATCTCTCCAATCCTAAAACTTTCAATCTGCAGTTGGTTGAATCCGCAGATGTGGAATCCAGGGATATCGAGGGACAACTGTATATACTTGTCTTCTAATAGAAAACACTTTTAAAGAGAGATACACCACCAGGCCAAGGCAAGACTAATGGTGAAGTGGAGAGAAATCTCTCTTTTCCTACCTCTCCTGGAAACAGAGGCAGCTGCAATGGGTAAGTGTCACAAATAGAAAAGCCAGAGTTTTGAAAGGCCCCAGAACTTTTCCATGAGCAGTGGATTTATTTATTTTTCAAATTTTATTTTAGAATCACAGAGTATATGTGCTGGTTTGTTATATGGGTATATTATGTGACACTGAGATTTGCGTTACGATTCATCCCATCATCAGGTAGTGAGCACAGTACCCAACAGATAGTTTTCCAATCCTTGCCTCCCACCCCCAATAGTACCCAGAGTCTATAGTTGCCATCTTGGTGTCCATGTGTACTCAATGTTTAGCTCCCATGTATAAGTGAGAACACGTGGTATTTGGTTTTCTGTTTCCATGTTAGTTCGCTTAGGATAATGACCTCCAACTTCATCCATGTTGCTACAAAGGCCATGATTTCGTTTTTGTGTGTGTGTGTGGCTGCATAGTATTCCACGGTGTATATGTACCACATTTCCTTTATCCAGTCCACTGCTGGTGGGCATCTTGGTTGATTCCACGTCTTTGTTATTGTGAATAGTGCTGCAATGAATATATGGATACATGTGTCTTTTTGATAGAATGACTTATATTCCTTTGGGTATATACCAGTAATGGGATTGCTGGGCCGAATGGTAGTCCAGCTCTTACTTAAGAAATCTCCAAACTGCTCTCCACGGTGCTTGGACTAATTTACATTCCCAACCAAGGGCGTATAAGCACCTCATTTTCTCTGGGGGTCCCTCCAAAATATGTTACTTTTGTTTACTTAACAAAAGCCATTCTGACTGGTATGACATGGCATCTCATTGTGATATGGCATCTCATTGTGATTTGATTGAGCAGTGAATTTAATTGCATCTCAACTCACTATGAAATTAATAAAATACATTCACATAAACCAACACTTTAGCCTTGGCTTTTGTCTTCCAGGTAAAGGAGTATACAGTCATACAGGTGTTTCTGAGGATCCCAGAGGGTGACACTATCTAAGGCTGTTGTAATGGGCCCTTTTTGGACTACAACTGCCACCAGGCACACACAGGTATATGTAATTAATGCATTTAAGTAGGAGAATAAATTGTACAAATCAAGCCCCCATTGCCTAGACTGGTCAAGACAGCAGCATAAGCAAAATGGGAAAAGAGCCAGGCTGGGGACTTAGAGATGAAGGCAGGCACAGGGAGGCAGAAAGGAGGACAACTGATGTTCCCGAAAAGGGGGCCATGCCCGCCAGCCACAGCTTCTGCTAATCAGGTGTGAGTTACAGTGACACGAAGACCCTCAGCTCAATGTTCCTCTTGGCTGGGATGCTTATCCATCAGAAACAAGAATTTTAAAAAATGATCACAGCAATGCTGACAAGGATGTAGGAAAACTGACACCAATATTATGCTACAAGATAGGAAGGTACGCGTTTTAAGGAATCCTGTTGAACTGTCTCAAAAGTCTTAAAATACCTTAGAACTAATAACTACACATTTAAGAATCTAGGAACTGCCATCTTCCTCTCTTCCTCCCACCCTCCCTCCTCCATACACGCACCCAGCCACCCACCTACTTGCACAGTCACCTCTTGAGCAGAGGAGTGACCCTATATTCAGAATCCATTCAACATCTATCCCTAACTACTCAACTTTAAAAAATAAGGTAATGTTTGGAAGTGGCACCCTCAAGCAAATACTATTTAAACCAAACAAAAAAAGGGCCTGGAGCAGTGGCTCATGCCTGTAATCCCAACAATTTGGGAGGCGGAGGTGGGCAGATTGCTTGAGCTCAGGAGTTCGAGACCAGCCTCGTCAACATGGTGAAACCGTCTCTACTAAAAATACAACAATTAGCTGGGTGTGGTGGCGTTTGCCTGTAGTCCCAGCTACTCCAGAGGCTAAGGCATGAGAATCACTTGAACCCAGGAGGAGGAGGTTGCAGTGAGCCGAGATCACGCCATCACACTCCCAACATGGGTGAGAGAGTGAAACCCTGTCTCAAAAAATAAAATAAGATAAAATATAATAAACTAAAATTAAAATTAAATAAATTTTAAAACAAAATAAAAAAGGAGTCAAGGAAAGTTAAGGCAGATTTAGTCATGATTCCCATGGAATGATCTCACAATTTCAAGTGTTGGAACACCAGAAGCAGCTTTCTAAAGACAGTCTTTATGTTTGAAAGATTACATATATAGCAACCATTTCAATTTCATGCAAATAAGCACTTCAGATTGTTTTGAGAGAACATCCCAGGGGCAACATCACTGATTTAAATAGCACTGTATCTACAGCAAACTGGACAAGAATCAAGATGACGTGTTCTAGAAAACTTTGTTAGATGACTTAAAAAGGGGCCTGGTGAGGACACAGAAAATGATGTTGAAATTGCTTGTAAAGATACTGAATGAAATAATGACATAAAATTTGAGAGTCTAGGGAAACTTCATATGTTAAAATTTATATATTTTTGTATAAAATGTGACGGAATTTGTTTTTTAACTAATACATTCAAATATTAACACTCTTAAGGTGAAATTATCTACACATTTATACATTCTAGTTGGTTACAAAATTTCCTTCCTGGGGAAATAGGGCTAACTTACTGCAGGGACTTACATTTAGACACAGATGGCAATTTTAAATTTTGAGAAAGATGTCTATATGGATGCGTAACTTTGTCTTATTTTGGGGAGTAAAAATTAGAAACCAAAACATGGACATAAAAGCAATCAAGTTTGAAACCAAGATTTTAACCTTAACTATTCACTGCAACCATTTATGAAACATTTTAAAGGTGCAAAGAACAGAGACCTATGGCAGTAGGTATGGTGTAGACATCAACAGTTTACAAAGCATTATATGTAATTCTAATAATCAGACAAGTTTGAGAAACAATATTCAATGGCAGGGAAACTTTTTGTATAATGTTAAGTGAAAAAATGTTAGTATACAAAACTATACAAAAAGTATGAGCTTAATTTTGTCCCCCCAAAGCATTCTCATTTATACATGAAAATAATACATGGAAAAAAATGTTCTGGAATGTTAACAATAGTTTTTCCATTAAGTGAATTTGTGGGTGAACTACATTTTCTTTTTTATCTTTTTTCCTATATTTTCTACAGCAAATCTTTGCTACTTTTAAAATTTTAAAAGTCATATTTTTAGAAAGAAAAGTATTTTGAGAAAGAAATCTAAAAGGGGAGCAGAGGCTTTTAAAATCTGGTTTTCATATTTCTAGATCCTAGTGAACAATAATGTCATTAGAAGAAAATATTCTATACTGTTAAAAGCTCAATTTGCTAAGTGTGTCACTAGTATAAGTTTTAGACTGGTGGCATGATTTTTCCATAAAAATTAACACATCCACTTATAATTTGAAATTAACTAAGGAAAACAGCTAAATATAACTGATAACTGAAGGTATGTGATTCTAGTTTCCCCAGTGGATTAAAACAATGGTGTTCCCTGGGAATCCCAAACTGCTGCATTACCGGGTGATTTACTGGGCGAAGAATTTCATGTTCTAGAAACTACCATCAACAATTACCTATCAGCATCTGGGTATTACAAGGCCTTTTCTGTTTTTGATGAAAAGCTTTCCATCAGTAACTATTTAGTGATCATTACTATATAATCAACACAACATTGTGATAAATCTGAGGATGCTACAAAAGGATTTTTAACCCTTGCTCTGGTAACAGCATTTTCCCCCCTAGAGATTTAATGAGATTTCCATCACTTTTTAAAAGTGAACTACATTTGGAAAACATGAAAAGGAAAAGTAATGGGGAAAGTTTCAACCCTATATTCTATAAAAATGGAGAGCATTAAGAACTAATTTGAGGAAAACAGAATTGTGCTCTTTAAATCAGTGTCTTCAGAATGCATAAACTGAAAAAGTAAATGTTCAAATAAGTGTTATAAAGACTGTGAAATCAATTTTAACTGATGATTTTAAAACGCAGGAAAAAAAGCAACATTTACCATTAATATTTACTACAACATTATCTGGCAGATGGTGTACGGGACAAACATTTTTGCTCTCATTAGGTGGTGGGGTAAAACCCAGAAAACTGGGTTCACTTCGCTGGAGTATGGGAGGAGCCTCTCTGTCATTAGGTCTTTTCTGGGGCAAGTGACAGCAACTCCCTCATCTACAGAAACTGGTGCCAATGCACTTCAGTCTTCAGCAGCTTTCCAGGTTCACAAAAGTCTGTGGGGTAGGGAGAGCTTCTAAGGACCACATGCAAAACAGGGAGCAGGGGCAGGCAAGAGCTTTCTCTTCCGGTAAAGTTTTCCTCTCTAGTTTTACAAGTGAAGAAATTCGGTCTCACGGAGGTTGAAGACATTGCCCATGGCCCCAGTGGAACATAGACCTGTAATCTAAACCTACGGGTAATTCCTAAGACTGAATCCACCTCCCCATGCTGCCTGCATCAGCCCTGGAGAGGAAGAGAAAGACCTCCCGTCCTTATTGGTGAAATTTCCTCATGGAATTCATGTGCAATTAGTACGTGGAAATACCAACTGAAGAGAATATAAAATAATGGGCACTGCTAGGATAGTTGTAAGCTACAACCCACTTCCCCAATATACCTTGCATATAATAAATTTAATGGCATGATGCAGATGTCAGTTACCAACATCATAATGTCTATTTCTTATTTAGTTCCCGTTTGTTCTCAAGTCAGCCTTTAGAAAAATAAGGACAACAAAAATCCTTCCTCATTTAGGAATAGAATCCTGCATTTTGTGCAGTGGTCATGCTGTATGGGATATGTGTTTGAAAGAAATGAGAAAAGACGGTAGGATAAAATGGAAAAAAAAAAATCCGAAACCAAAAACCTCATTAGATTTGAAAGCGAGTACAATTAGCATTGTAAGCAGAAAAATCAGCTCACCACAAATGTAATTTCTTTTCTTCCTTTCCTTTCAAGCTAAAGACTCATAACTTTTTTTAAAAAAAGTTTTATTTTTGACCAATGATGAGTGCTCTTTGATAAAACCAATGTAATAAAGCGGAACTTTTGCAAATAGGACAATAAGTGAGAAGAAATGCAGTGTGGTTTTGTGAAAAGGATACATGCCTGAGTTCCGGTCTGGGTTGCGTTTTATATGATCAGTTCACTCATTGTCTCTCTTCAGTTTCTGATTGAAGATGATGTTGATCATGCTTTTGCACAGTTCAGGTGTCTGTTATCTCCTCCAGCTGTACCAGATTCCACCTGTTCTAAATTAGATGCCACTCTTCTGTGCTTCCAAAGCACTCTGAACTTTGTGCTTCTTTCTCTTACGAGGCGGCCATGGGCCCACCAAAGATATCATTTTTATCTTGTTCTTTTGTAGACAAGCACCTATCACAGTCCCCAGTACAAAGTAAGCACTTAATTAAAGCTCATTAGTAAAGCTCCAGTTGCTCCCCAAAGGCCTTACTGGGTCTCAGATTGAATATATCTACGGGCCACATGCAGTGGCTCACGCTTGTAATCACAGCACTTTAGGAGGCCGAGACCGAAGGGTTGCTCGAGCTCAGGAGTTTGAGACCAGCCTGGGCAACACAGAGAGACCTTGTCTCTACTAAAAATAAAAAATAAAAATAAATAAGCTGGGTGTGGTGGTGCACACCTGTAGTCTTAGCCATGCCAAAGACTGAGGAAGAAGGATCACTTGAGCCCAGAAAATCGAGGCTGCACTGAGCTATGATTGCATCACTGCATTCCAGCCTGGGCGACAGAGTGAAAAAAAATCTATGAATTAATTACCCCGTGACTAAAACTTAAACGGTAAATATATTAACTTATTATAACATATAAAAATGAAAGTTGAAAGTTTCCAGTGCCTCATTCTTTTGTTAAAGAATTTAAATTTATCAATTGATATTTAATTCCTCCCACTACAGAACTTTAAGTGACTAGTTTCCATGTATTACAAGATGATTTTTACAAGAAGAGATGAAAGACACACTTCCAAGGGGCTAAAAATCAAATGTATGAGTCATATTTTGTATTTTTGCTAATTTGAAATACATTTTTTATAACTAGAAAATTTATAATTAGCATCTCTCAATATGTCACAGTAATAGGAAGTTAAAAAATAACACTCTTTCTGGTTCCAAAACTTAGTCTTCATGTCTATCAAGTTTTTCAAAGTTAGTTAGGATTCTGCATTTTTTTCTGTCAATCGGGGTGTAATACATGGCATGAAGGTTATAAATCCTGTAACTAGATACAATGATAAATGCATGTACCCCATTCTTGTTAATTTTCCATTCCACAATAAAAAACCCCTGCTAACTCTGATCCTTTCAGTGTGGGGATTACCTGTACCAGCAACCCACAAACTCTGCTGCTGCTTCCTGCGCAGTGAACTCTACAACTGCCTTTCTCCTCCCTTTGGCTTATCTTGCTCTGCTCCTTCATGTTAATTCCATTCTTCTAGAACTTCTGCATTGGCATTCTTATTTGGCATTCTTATTTACACTAAAGGAGTAGTTATTAATGGCAGGTAATGTGTCCCCCAGGGGACACTGAGCAACATCTGAAGACATTTTTGATTGAAGCAGTGACAAGACAGTTCCCATGACAAAGACAAAAGACCAAGAGTGTCGAAGTTTAAAGAAACCCTGGATTAAGCTATCATCTTTTTCCTACTTTTTCCCCTAACATCTTATATATTACTTTTTTTTAATTTGTGGAATTATTCCGTTTTCCTCATTTTTCCTTCTCTAACTCTTCCATATGTGTTAATCATGTAAATATATCTACAGAGTCCAAACATATATACATGCACCTCCGTGGGTATGTGAATACGGCTTAGGTACTGGTATGAATGCTGATGGGCATGTGTGTATTCTTGTGACATCTTAGCATGTAGTGCACTTAAAAGTCATGCAAGGAGTGTGTGTGACAGAATATGTAGAAAAATTAACTTGAAGTGTTTATTACCTATATATACAAATGTGTGTGTCTACGTGTTCCTAGCCCTTCATATTATAAGTATTAATTGAATAGTTTTCATAGATTTGCTTAAGTGTACAAACAGAAGAGTGCAGATATAGTTGGGTTTTTTTTTTTTTTTTGAAAAATCAAAGGGTATTGAGGTTAAGTTAAAAACCTTAACACATAAATGCAGTTGTGATCTCTAAATTCACTAAGCATCTGTCTTTCCAGTAAGGATTCCAGACATCAGCCCATGTGATGCTACTGTTAGCTAAATCTAGGCCCCAAACTTGAATTAGTTTTACAACATGTAAAGGGGAAAAGACATGTCTAAAAATTATAAACCTGCTGCACATACATTACAGTGTATTGTTTATTCCTCACAACATCTCAATATAAAAAACTATCATGAATCACATTTTACAGATAGGAAACAGACGTGGAGAGGTTAAGAAATGTGCCAGTGGTTCTAAGGCATTAAGTGACAATGTCAAGATACAATCTTTAGTGATCTCTGGCAATAAAATCCATGGCCTCAACTATTAATGCAATACTAACTCCCACATCTGAATCTTTAATGTATGCCCACAGCAGATCAGGAAAGACTGAAATCACTGTAATCAATTCTATAAAACATTTGTCTCTTATTTTGTGCAATTTTAAGACGACTATGTTTCGTGAAGAAAAAAGAGTCAAAAGGTTAAGTAAAAACTTTCACAG